>NC_000004.12:82406229-82557744 GCF_000001405.40 Homo sapiens
AAAAAAAAGAAAAAGAAAACGAATAAGCATTGAGATTTTATAGATCAACTGGTACATAGATGGTCTTGATAAACTTTTCCACAGGAATCCAAGATAGGGAAAACACCTTTGAACACAATACTGGCATGCAGGTTGATGTACAGAAAAGGGCACAGGCTTTCTAGCCAGTCAGGTTTGAATTCTGTCTCTAACAGGACAAGACATGGGCAAATCATTTGTCCTTGCTGAGGTTTTCATTAACAGATATTCATGGAGCAAGTTACTCTACAAGGCTCTAAACTGGATTTCTCTCATCAGGATTATTGTGAGAATTAAGTATGTTAGCAGGCGAATATATTTAGCACTGTTCCTGTCCCCCAAAATATACTACCCTGAGTTTTGAAATGTAAAGAAAAGTCTGGAGGAGGAGACTGTCGACTCATTGGCGGTCAGGATCCTAACAAATAGGGGCAGAAATGATTGCAGCTTGCACGAGGGGAGCAGGAGTCTAAGGATAATCTTTAAGAACCAGAGACAGCCGGGTGTGGTGGCTCACGCCTGTAATTCCAGCACTTTGGGAGGCCGAGGCAGGCGGATCACGAGGTCAGGAGATCGAGACCATCCTGGCTAACACGGTGAAACCCCGTCTCTACTAAAAATACAAAAAATTAGCCGGGTGTGGTGTCGGGCGCCTGTAGTCCCAGCTACTCAGGAGGCTGAGGCAGGAGAATGGCGTGAACCCGGGAGGCGGAGCTTGCAGTGAGCCGAGATCGCACCACTGCACTCCAGCCTGGGCAACAGAGGGAGACTCCACCACAAAAAAAAAAAAAAAGAACCAGAGACAAGGCCGCGAGCGGTGGCTCACTCCTGTAATCCCAGCACTTTGGGAGGCCAAGGTGAGCGGATCACGAGGTCAGGAGATCGAGACCATCCTGGCCAACACGGTGAAAACCCCGTCTCTACTAAAAGTAGAAAAAAAATTAGCTGGGCGTGATGGCGGGCGCCTGTAGTCCCAGCTACTCGGGAGGCTGAGGCAGGAGAATGGCGTGAACTCGGGAGGCAGAGCTTGCAGTGAGCCAAGATGGCGCCACTGCCCTCCAGCCTGGGCGACAGAGCGACTCCGTCTCAAAAAAAAAAAAAAAAGAACCAGAGACATATGGTATGTTATTTTTCCTAAAATGATCTTTTTCATATATTAATATTTCTGAAATCAGGATACAACTTAAAATCTTTCATGTATATTTAATAGGGTATTTCTTTTTCTTTTTCTTTTTCTTTTTTTTTTTTGAGGTAGAGTCTCCCTCTGTTGCCCAGGCTGGAGTGCAGTGGCGCGATCTCGGCTCACTGCAAGCTCCGCCTCCCAGGTTCACGCAATTCTCCTGCCTCAGCCTCTTGAGTAGCTGGGACAACAGGCGCCTGCCGCCTCGCCCGGCTAATTTTTTGTATATTTAGTAGAGACGGGGTTTCACTGTGTTAGCCAGGATGGTTTCGATCTGCTGACCTCGTGATCTGCCCGCCTCTGCCTCCCTAAGTGCTGGGATTACAGGCGTGAGCCACCGCGCCCGGCCTAAAAATTTTTTTTTGAGACAAGGTATTGCTTTGTTGCCCAGGCTGAAGTCCATTGATGTGGTCATGGCTCACTGCAGCTCGACCTCGTGGGCTGAAGCTATCCTCCTGCCTTAGCCTCCAGAGTAGCTGAGACTACAGGCACACACCACACACTGAGGCGGGCAGAGGCTGAGGCAGGAGGATTGCTTGAGCCCAGGAGTTTGCAGCTGCAATGAGTCGTGAATGTACCACCGCACTGTAGCCTGAGAAACAGAGCGAGAGCCTGTTAAAAAAATAGATAGGGCCGGGCGTGGTGGCTCACGCCTGTAATCCCAGCACTTTGGGAGGCCGAGGCGGGTGGATCATCTGAGGCCAGGAGTTCGAGACCAACCTGGCCAAACATGGTGAAACCCCGTCTCCACTAAAAATACAAAAAAATTAGCCGGGCGTGGTGGCAGGCGTCTGTATTAGCAGCTACTCGGGAGGCGAGGGAGGAGAATCGCTTGAACCCGGGAGGCGGAGGTTGCAGTGAGCCGAGTGCACTCCAGCCTGGGCAAAAAGAGTGAAACTCCATCTCGAAATAAAATAAAATAAATAGATAAATTACAAAAAAACTGATTCTGATTAAATAATTTCAGAGAAATAAAAAGAAAATTTATGGCTGGGTGAGGTGGCTCACGCCTATAATCCCAGCACTTTGCGAGCCCAAGGCAGAAGGATCACTTGAGCCAGGAGGTTCAGGCTGCAGTGAGAAAAGATGTTCATGAGAGAACATGAACCAGAAAAGAAAATAAATAAAAATTTTAAAAAGAGATGTTATTTTTAGAAACTTGCTCTGTTGCCCAGGGTGGAGTGCAATGGCATGATCTCTGCTCACTGCAACTTCTGCCTCCCAGGTTGAAGCCATTCTCCTGCCTCAGCCTCCGGAGTAGCTGGGACTACAGGTGCCCGCCACCACGCCCGGCTAATTTTTTGTATTTTAGTAGAGACGGGGTTTCACCATGTTGCCCAGGCTGGTCTCGAACCCCTGAGTTCAGGCAATCCGCCTGCCTCGGCCTCCCAAAGTGTGTAAGCCACCGCGTGCCTGGCCAATAATTTGCATTTTTTCTTAGAAAATCCATGAGAAATAATGAGTAATTCCTTTTTCATCATTCAGCTTCATCCATTGTAGTAGATGCTCTAATATATTACTAATCTAATTTTCCCACACACTTAGTTTCTGTATAAATAACTGTCCACACTGTGACGATTACAAAGAAGAAATCGTGGTATATTAAATATTCTGAATGGTCACATTGACAGTCAAAATACCCTGCTTCAATGACAAACTTATAAGGCAAATAATCCAAATTTTTTTTTTTTTGCGTTTTTGGGAACTACTAATTAGTTCAGTCATATTAAAAGGTAAAGAAAGAAAACTAGGCCAGGCACATTGGCTCACACCTGTAATCCCAGCACTTTGGGAGGCCGAGGCGGGTGGCTCATGAGGTCAAGAGATCAAGACCATCCTGGCCAACATGGTGAAACCCCGCCTCTACTAAAACTAGAAAAATTAGCCAGGCCTGGTGGCAGGTGCCTGTAATCCTACCAATTCGGGAGGCTGAGGCAGGAGAATCGCTTGAACCCGGGAGGCAGAGGTTGCAGTGAGCCAAGATTGCGCCATTGCACTCCAGTCTGGGCGACAGAGCAAGACTCCCTCTCAAAAGAAAGAAAACTAAAGGAACTTTAAGTTACCATTACATCTCTCTTAAGCTAAAAAAAAAAAAAAAGTTAAGACCAATGTTGGCAAATATAACAAAATCAAATTAATTAATACAAAAATTTTGTAAGTAGCTCCGTAGATTATTCAGTGTTTTTGGAGAGCAATATGGCAATAGTGATAAATTATACTACTTTGGGAAATGTACAACCAACAATTACCGCAATCCAAAGGAATAAGGAATATTGTACAGTGAGGTTTATAGTCTTCATAACAATAAAACTCTGAAAACTAAATTTTATCCATGATGTTATAAAACTGGTGGCATGTATACAAAAATATATACTCCTCTATGAACATTTAGTTTTTTACAGTAATCAATGTCATTTACATTTTCCCACATTTATACCACCTTCTTTCCCTTTCATTCCTTTATGTACCCCTGGGGGATCACTTATCTTCTACAATTAGAATTAGCTTTAGAATTTCCTTTGGTGACAGCTTTCTGGTGATTATGTGTTAATTTTTTTCTTGCAGAAGATTAGAAGATGTCTTTTATCACCCCAATTTTTTTTTTTTTTTTTTTTAGAGACAGGGTCTCGCTCTGTCTCCTAGGCTGCAGTGCAGTGGCACCATCATAGCTCACTGCAGCCTTGACCTCCTGGGCTCAAGTGATCCTCCCACCTCAGCCTCCTGAGTAGCTGGGACCATAGGCGCACACTACACTCAGCTAATTTTTTAACATTTTGTTAAAACAGGATCTTGCTATGTTCCCCAGGCTGGTCTCGAGCTCCTGAGCTCAAGCAATCCTCCCCTCTCAACCTTCCAAAGTGCTGGAATTACAGGCATGAGCCATTGCACCTGGAGTCACCTCCAACCTTAAAAGAATTTTGACTGATTGGCAATTCTCAGTTGTAGTTACCCTCAACACATTCAGCACATCATTCCACTGTTAACTGTTTTTCACGGTTTCTATTCAGAAGTCAAAAGAGTAAAAAATCAGCTTTACTGTTGCTTTTTCTTTTCTTTCTTTCTTTTGTTCTTTCTTTCTTTCTTTTTTTTTTTTTTTTTTTTTTTTTTTTTTTTTTTGAGACAGGATCTTGCTCTCTTGCTCAGGCTGGAGTGCAGTGCCACGATCACAGCTCACTACAGCCTCGACCTCCTGGGCTCAAGTGATCCTCCCATCTTAGCCTGCAAAGTAGCTGGGACTACAGGTTCGTGGCCACCTTGCCCTGCAATTTTTATTTTTATTTTTTAGTAGAGATGAGGTCTCCCCATGTTGCCCAGGCTGGTATTAGACTCCTGGGCTCAACCAATCCTCCCACTTTGGCCTCCCAAAGTGCTGAGATTACAGGCAGGAGCCACTGCACCCAGCCAGTTGTGGGGTTTTTTTTTTTTAGATAGTCTTTATCAGGTTGTGGAAATTCCTTCTGCATTAGTCCGCTCAGGCTACCATAAGAAAATACCACAAATTAGGTGGCCTAAACAACAGACATTTATTTCTCATAGTTCTGGAGACTAAAATCCAAAGATCAAGGTGCCAGCAGGATTGGGTTCTGTTGAGGCCTCTTCCTGGCTTATAGATGGCTGCATTCTCACTGTGTCCTCGTATGGCCTTTTCTCTGCGTTTGTGTTGGTGAAGTGGGGGAGATCTGATGTCTCTTCCTTTTCTTATAATGGGAGTAGTCCCCTTAGATTAGGGCCCCACCCATATGAACTCATTTAACCTTTCTTTTCTTTTCTTTTTTTGAGACAGTGTCCCGCTCTGTCACCCAGGCTGGAGTACAGTGGCGCGATCTCGGCTCACTGCAACCTCCACCTCCTGGGTTGAAGCGATTCTCCTGCCTCAGCCTCGTGAGTAGCTGGGATTACAGGCATGCACCACTACGCCCGGATAATTTTTGTTTTTTTGTTTGTTTGTTTGTTTTTGAGACGGAGCCTCGCTCTGTCGCCCAGGCTGGAGTGCAGTGGCGCGATCTCGGCTCACTGCAAGCTCCGCCTCCCAGGTTCACGCCATTCTCCTGCCTCAGCCTCCCCAATAGCTGGGACTACAGGCACCTGCCACCGCGCCCGGCTAATTTTTTGTATTTTTAGTAGAGACAGATTTAACCGTGTTAGCCAGGACGGTCTCGATCTCCTGGCCTCGTGATCCGCCCGCCTCGGCCTCCCAAAGTGCTGAGATTACAGGCTTGAGCCACTGCGCCCGGCCTAATTTTTGTATTTTTAGTAGAGACGAAGCTTCACCATGTTGGCCAGGCTGGTCTCAAACTCCTGACGTCAAGTGATCTGCCCGCCTCAGCCTCTCAAACTGCTGAAATTACAGGCGTGAGCCACTGCGCCCGGCCTCATTTAATCTTCATTACCTCCATAAAGACCCTGTCTCCAAATACAACCACATTGGAGGTTAGGGTTCCAACATATGAATTTGAAGGGGGAACACAGTTTACTTGATAACACCTTCTATTTCTAGTTTGTTGTGTGTATTTGTTTTTATCATGGAAGGGTATTATATTTTGTCAAGTGCTTTTTCTGTATCTGTTAAGGTTAGCATGTGGTTTTCTTTATATTAATACGTGTGGTATATTGATTTTCAGATGTTAAACAAACTTTGCATTCCTGGGATAAATCCCTTCTGTTCATCGTGTATAATCCTTTTTATATATTGCTGGATTCAGTTTCCTAACTTTTAGGGTTTTTTGTTTTTGTTCTTGTTGAGACAGAGCCTCACTCTGTCACCCAGGCTGGAGTGCAGTGGGCGATTTTGACTCACTGCAACCTCCACCTCCTGGGTTCAAGCAATTCTCGTGTCTCAGCCCCCTGAGTAGCTGGGATTACAGGCATGCGCCAACGTGCCCGGCTAATTTTTGTATATTTAGTAGAGATGGGGGTTTCATCATGTTGGCCAGGCTGGTCTCGAACTGCTGACCTCAAGCAATCCGCCCGCCTCAGCCTCCCAAAGTGCTAGGATTATAGGCATAAGCCACCATGCCCAGGCTTGGGGTTTGTTTTGAGAATTTTTGTGTACGTATTCATAAGAAATATTGGTCTGTAGTTTTCTTTTCTTGTTATGTCTATGTCATTCTTTAATATCAGAGTAATACTAGCCTCATAGAATGAATTGCAAAGAGTTCTCGCTTGTTTTTTAGAAGGATTTGTGAAGAATTGGTGTTAATTCTTCTTTAAACATTGTGGTAAAATTCACCTTGGAAGCATCTAGTCCTGGACTTTGCTTCATGGAAAGTTTTTCTTTTTAAATTATTAATTCAATCTCGTTACCTATTATATATCCATTCAGATTTTCTTTTTGTTTTAGTTTTTATTTTACTTTATTTTTTTGAGACAGGGTCTTGCTCTATCACCCAGACTGGAGTTCTTTAGATTTTCTATGTCTTCTTGAGTTAATTTGAATAGTTTTTGCTTTCTAGGAATTTACTCATTTCATTTGGGCTATCTAATTTGTTGCTATACAGTTGTTCATTGTACTTTCTTATATTCCTTTTTATTTCTGTAAGGTCTGTATTGATGTCTCCTCTCTTATTTCTGATTTTAGTTATTTAAGTCTTCTCTCTTTTGTTATTGGCCAATATAACTATTGGTTTGTCAATTTCGTTGATTTTCAAAAACCAATTTTTGGTTTTGTTGATTTCGCTATTGTTTTTATATCCTCTATATCATTAATTTTCACTTTAATCCTATTAGTTCATTTCTCCTCCTGGCTTTGAGTTTGATTTGTTCTTCTTTTCCTAGTTTCCTAAAGTGGAAAATTAGTTATTGATTTCACATCTTACTTTTTATTTTATTTTATTATTATTATTATTATTTTTTGAGACAGGGTCTCACTCTGTTGCCCAGGCTGGAGTGCAGTGGTGCCATCTCGGCTCACTGCAACCTCTGCTTCCCAGGGTAAAGTGGTCCTCCCACCTCAGCCTCCTGAATAGCTGGGACTATAGGCACAGGCCACCAAGGCCCTGCTAATTATTGGTATTTTTTGTAGAGACCGGATTTTGCCATGTCGCCCAGGTTGGTCTCAAACTCCTGGCCTCAAGTGATCTACCCGCCTTGGCCTCCCAAAGTGCTGGGATTACAGGTGTGAGCCACCATGCCCAGTCCCAATATTTTATTTAAAAAGCAAGATGTCAGGCCGGGTACAGTGGTTCACACCTGTAATCCCAGCACTTTGGGAGGCCGAGGTGGATTGCTTGAGGCCAGGAGTTTGAGACCAGCCTGGGCAACATGGCAAAACCCAGTCTCTACAAAAAATACCAAAAACAAGCTCACATAGTGGCGTAGTGGAACATTCCTGTAATCTCAGCTACTTGGGAGGCTGAGGCAGAAGAATCGCTTGAACCTGGGAGGCGAAGGTTGCAGTGAGCCAAGATTGTGCCACTGCACTCCAGCCTGGGCAACAAAGCGAGACTCTGTTTCAAATAAATAAATTAATTAATTTAATTAAATATAGGCACTTACACCTATAAATTTTCCTCCATGAACTAACTTAGCTGGATCCCATAGTTTCATATGCTGTTTTAGTTTTTATCCATCTCAAATTACTTCTCGGTTTCCCCTGTATTTTTTCTTTGACTTATTGACTATTTTGGAGTTTGTTGTTTAATTTCCACATACTTGTGAATTTCTCAAATTTCCTTTTGCTAAGTCCTTATTTGATTTCATTGTGGTCACAGAAAATACTCTGTATGACTTCAATCTTTCTAAATTTATTCAGGCTTTTTTTAAAAATAATGTGTCATACAGCTTATGCTGGAGAATATTCCATGTCCATTTGAAAAGAATATGTGTTCTGCTATTGTTGGGAGAAGTGTTTTATAGATGTCTATTAGGTCTGGTTGTTTTATAGTGTTGTTTGAGTCTTCTGTTTCCTTGTTGATTTTCTGCCTGGTTGTTCTATCCATTATTCAAAATGAAGTTTCATTGTTTACAACTGTTGTTCTTGAATTCTGTCAATTTCACTTAATGTGTTTTCCTTAAATGCTTTGAAGCAATAAGACTACAAGCCTTTGTCGCGGGGCTCTCTGAGTGTATTGGGGAATGACTTTGATGCTCCAGCAGGCTGGTAGCAATTCTGAGTTAGCCTTCTCTTCCTGCTTGTGTAGACCCTCAAGGTCAAGCAACAGTGAGAGATTAGCCCTTTCTCAGCTGTTTCCTGGGCATGTGCACAGGTCTGCCTGTAAGTATGGCCTTCTAGAGTCTCAAGAATGTGTTGGAGATTTTTAAAGCCCTCAATGGATAATTTATTTCCCAGTTTTTATTTCTTGGTTTTATTTGTCAGTCTCTAATTAGCCCTAACTCATATTGCCACCTCAGATGCGTGTGATGTTAAACAATTGCCATCGAATGTTTTTGAGACTCAATCTAGGGCTATGGCTTTTTGCATTGAGTGAGCTCTGAGGTGAGATAAGGACAAATTTGAGTATAGAGCTTGTTTCAGTGAATTATTAGGTAGGTCAAATAGTTGCAGTTCTATAGGAATTGGTTTTTGTGGGGTGCTCTAAATCCGTTGTGTCCCAGTGGTTCCTAAGCATCTGGTTTTTGTATTCACTGTAGTTGCAGAGATGTTGGTTTTCAAGGCTACCATGGAGCTGGAGAGAGGAGGATGAGAATACACAAAGCTCCCTGTTCTTACTGAAATAAAACCCCCTTTTTTTTTTAGGGCAGGTGGTGCGGATAGTCTCATTCTGTGGTCCTGGCAGGCTGCAGTGCAGTGGCATGATCATTGCTCATTGCAGCCTCTAACTTCTGGTCTTAAGCGATCCTGCCTCAGCCTCTTGAGTAGCTGGTACTACAGGCACGTGCCACCATGCCCAGCTAATTTTCTTTTTTTAGACGGAGACTCGCTCTGTCACCCAGGCTGGAGTGCAGTGTCGCAATCTCGGCTCACTGCAACCTCTGCCTCCCAGGTTCAAGCGATTCTCCTGCCTCATCCTCCCGAGTAGCTGGGACTACAGGCCCGAGCCACCACGCCCAGCTAATTTTTTGTATTTTTAGTAGAGACGGGGTTTCACCGTGTTAGCCAGGATGGTCTGGATCTCCTTACCTCGTGTTCCTCCCACCTCAGCCTCCCAAAGTGCTGGGATTACAGGCGTGAGCTACCGTGCCAGGCCAATTTTCTTTTTTTTTAATTTGTTGTAGAGACAGGATCTCTCTATGTTGCCCAGGATACTCTTTAATTTCTGGCTTCAAGCGATCCTCCTGCCTCAGCCTCCCAAAATGCTGAGATTGTAGGCATGAGCTACCACACCTGGCCTTGAAATAAAGCCTTTGAAAAAAAGTACTCCTTGGATTGTTGCAAGACTATTATCCAGAGTTCTGAAAATGTTGATTTTGACCATTTTTGCCACTTCTCCTCATTGCTTTTGAGAGGTGAAGCCAGCTGGGCTTCTGGGTCCGGTGGGGACTTGGAGAACTTTTCTGTCTAGCTAAAGGATTGTAAACACACAAATCAGCTCTCTGTGTCTAGCCAAAGGTTTGTAAGTGCACCAATCAGCACTCTGTAAAAACTGATCAATCAGCACTCTGTAAAATAGACCAATCAGCACTCTGTAAAATGGACCAATCAGCAGGACATGGGCAGGGCCAAACAAGGGAATAAAAGCTGGCCACCCAGCTAGCAGGGGCAACCCGCTGGGGTACCCTTCCATGCTGTGGATGCTTTGTTCTTTCGCTCTTCACAATAAGTCTTGCGGCTGCTCACTCTTTGTAACACTGACTGCGAAGGTCTGCAGCTGCATTCCTGAAGTCAGTGAGACCATGAACCCATGGGGAGGAACAAACAACTCTGGATGCCCGTCGCCTTTAAGAGCTGTAACACTCGCTGTGAAGGTCTGCGGCTTCACTCCTGAAGTCAAGCGAGACCACGAACCCACCAGAAGGAAGAAACTCGACGTATCTGAACATCTGAAGGGACACACCATCTTTAAGAACTGTAACACTCACCACGAGGGTCCGTGGCTTCATTCTTGAAGTCAGCGAGACCAAGAACCCACTGGAAGGAACCAATTCTGGACACACTTTGACAGAGCAGATTTTTGGATGTCCTTACTCTGCTATTGTGGAAGTGCTTCTGGTTAATATGTTTGTTAAATATCCATTCTTATTTCCCATGGGTTTTTTGTTTGTCTTTGTTTTAGCTAAGAGTGATTTTAATAATGACTATTTTGATATCTCAGGCTCTGCAGGGGGGTTGGAAAGCCACACTTGGAAACGCTCATGCAGGAAATATTTCCAAAATCACACAAGAACTGGATTCATAAAGACACCTGTTTCTGCTGCTGCTGCTGCTCTTGCTACACACAGATGCTGCTCCTTTCACCATTATCAGTGCTAGATACTGGATGTTGTTGCTAGAACCACTGCTCCTTCTGAAAAGTCATTGCCACCATGGCTGCCCCCTGTCCCAGCATTGATTCCACAAAATTCCTACTTCTTTTGATTCACCCTTCAGGCTCAAAGTCCAATGCAAGAGAATTCTGATCGATAGAGCTGAGTTAACATGTCTATGCTCTGGGTATATGGGAGCCTGGGAAAGTGATTTTTAAATTTCTATATTGGGTGGTACTCTTGGTACATCACGACTCATAGGATGGGAATTCTTCAAACATGGGAAATAACTCTCTATATTCCATAAAACCTGTACAATGTCATAATAAAAATGATGTACTTAATTTTTAAAAAGTTTTAATTGACACACAATAATTGTACATATTTATTGGATACAATATGATGTATTAATACCTGTATACATTGTGTAGTGATCAATTCAAGGTAATTAACATATCCATCATCTCAAACATTTATCATTTCTTTATGGTGGGAACATAAAAATCCTTTCTTCTAGCTATTTTGAGATATACCTTATTTTTGACTATAGTCACCCTACTGTAAAATAGGATACCAGCATTTATTCTTCCTAATTGTAACTCTGTACCCGTTGACCATCCTCTTCCCATCCCCTCCTTCTCCCTACCCTCCCCAGTCTCTGGTAACTGCTGTTCCATTAACTACTTCTGTGAAATCAACTTTTTTAGATTCTACATGTAAATGAGAACATGTGATATTCATCTTTCTGTGTCTGGTGTATTTCCCTTAACATAATGTCTTCTAGGTTCATCGATGTTGTCACAGATTTTGCTTTTATCTTTTTTTTTTTTTTTTTTTTTTGAGATTGAGTTTCACTCGTCATCCAGGCTGGAGTGCACTGGCACGATCTTGGCTCACTGCAACCTCCGCCTCCTGGTTTCAAGTGATTCTCCTGCCTCAGCCTCCCGAGTTGCTGAGACTACAGGCGCACACCACCACACCTGGCTATTTTGGGTTTTCGCCATGTTGGCCAGGCTGGTCTCAAACTCCTGACCTCAGGTGATCCACTCCCCTTGGCTTCCCAAGGTGCTGGGATTACAGGTGTGAACCACCTCGCCTAGCCCTACCATATTTTTTTTATCCATTCTTCTGATGATGGACACTTAGGTTGATTCTATATCTTGACTATTGGGAATAATGTTGCAATAAACATGAGAGTGCAGATATTTGTTTGACATATTGATTTCATTTCCTTTGGATATATACTCAATAATGGGATTGCTGGATCATATGGTAGCCCTGTTTTTAATTTTTTGAGGAGCCTCTATATTGTTTTCCATAATGGCTGTACTAATTTATATTATCACAGTGTGAAAGGGTTCTCTTTTCTCCACATTCGTTGCCCACACTTATCCTTTTTTCTTTTTTCTTCTTTTTTGAGACAAAGTCTGGCTCTATTGCCCAGGCTGGATCCTTTGTCTTTTTGATCATTAATTTGCACTTTATATTCTTGCTTACTATAATAAATGTTGCTTACCATAAGTCTCTTTTAATCTTAGATCCACCTACATTTCCCACTTCTTTTCATGTCATTTACTTGTTGAAGAAATGGGATATTCTTATGAATTTTCCACATTTTAGATTTGGATGGTTGCATCTTCATGGTAGTTTAACATGTGCCTTTATTTCTTTTCCTGATTACTGGTAGTTGGTTCTAGATGTGGCTGCTTTTGTTTGTTGTTGATTTTTTTGGTTTTACCATAGTGCATCTTCGTGGAGATTTTTATTTATTTTTCCTAATTGCAATTGCAATTTGTAGGGTATATTATATTTGTAGATTCATTTGTCACTTCTGGAAAATTTTAAGCCATTACCTCTTGAAATGTTGCCTCTTACTCTCACTTCTAAAACTCTATTTTTTTTTTTTTTTTTTTTTTTGAGACAGAGTCTTGCTGTGTCGCCTAGGGGCTGGAGTGCAGTGGCACGATCTTGGCTCACTGCAACCTCTGCCTCCCAGGTTCATGCGATTCTCCTGCCTCAGCCTCCCGAGTAGCAGGGATTACAGGCATGCACCATCACACCTAATTTTTGCATTTTTAGTAGAGACAGGGTTTCACCATATTGGCCAGGCTGGTCTCGAACTCCTGGCCTCAAATGGTCTGCCCGCCTTGGCCTTCCAAAGTGCTGGGATTACAGGTGTGAGCCACCATGCCCAGCCAGCGTTTTTGATATTTTAAAAGCCTGTTAGACGTTACATATCATTAAAAAATGTACACAAGTTAACAGAAATATTCTTGATTTGGCTGCCATTAAATTAACTTGGTATGATGCGAATTATCACATTGTAGTTCTGACAGCTATATATCTTTGATTAATAGAAATGTTATTACATAATGAGAGCAATATATTTGACAAATAAAGCCATTCAAAACACATTGTCTATGGAGAGAAGAAATTTAAAGGGTTTCCTGGTGATGAAATATTGAAATTATTCTATAATACCACTTAACCCCCACTGCTCCCACCCTCCTGTCATTCCTCTGCTTGCAGGGTCTATGAAAAACATATATGCCCCAGATGTTTCATGGTTCAAGGGCAATCTAAATAGTGAGTCAATTTCATAGGCCATGTCTTTCATGGGAAGAGTAGTTGCTCCAGATTATCCAGGCTCAAATTCCATTAGAGGAACAAGAATGGATCAATTGTAATATAATCCTACTTTGCTACAATAGAGCTCAACACTCAGAAACCAAGTGTATTAAAGATTACTGACCAGTCTTAATGCTTAAAGTCAAGTATGCCTGATAGGAGTTTTATAGTTTAATAGACTGCAGAATGTAATCAGCATTGGTGCATTCAATTAGCTGACTTCCTCATTTTAAAATCAGGGGATTAAAGCTAAAGCTGGGCATGGTGACACATGCTGGTAATCCCAGCACTTTGGGAGGCCTAAACGGTAGGATCACTGGAGCCCAGGAGTTCGAGACCAGCCTGGGCAACATAGTGAGTCCCTGTCTCTAAGATGATAAAACAAAAAAAAAAAAAAAAAAAAAAGGTTTAACTTGGGCGATATGGCAAGACCTCATTTCTACTAAAAATCAAAAAAAAAAAAAATTAGCTAGGTATGATGGCACATGCCTGTGGCCCCAGCTACATGGGAGGCTGAGGTGGGAGGATTGGTTGAGCCCAGGAGGTTGAGGCTGTAGTGAGACGTGATGGCATCACTGCACTCCAGCCTGGGCGACAGAGTGAGACCCTGTCATCAATAAAACAATCCCCTATGAGTGTTCACCAGCCAATACAAATACCCAGGTGGAAGGTGGAGAACATATGAAGAAACTCCCTTTGTGGAACCTCATCAATTACAACAAATTCAATCAATTTTAGTCAGTTTGTTACCATAAAAGCCAACAGCTTCAAGAGCATTTTAAAACAGTTTTCTAAGTCTCTAATTTTCCTGAAACTACATTGAAAATATTTATAGACATGCATTTTTTTGGGTTTGAAGAGAATTCACTTTTGGTCAGACTCCCAAAAGGAGATTACCATTGGAAGAGTATGAGAAAAACTTGCCTGCAAGTAAAGTTTCTCACATTTTCTAGCTTGTGCTGGTCTTTAAGAAACCAAAATTAGCCTTTTTGGTTATTTGGATTTTAAGTGACAACATTATGTTGAATATACTTTTTTTTTTTTTTTCTTTTTTTGAGATGGAGTCTCACTCTGTCGCCCAGGCTGGAGTGCAGTGGCGCTATCTTGGCTCACTGCAACCTCTGCCTCCCGGGTTCACAACATTCTCCTGCCTCAGCCTCCCAAGTAGCTGGGATTACACTCGCCCACCACCACACCCTGCTTTTTTGTATTTTTGGTACAGATGGGGTTTCACCATATTGGCCAGGTTGGTCTAAAACTCCTGACCTCGTGATCCGCGCGCCTCAGCCTCCCAAAGTGCTGGGATTACAGGCATGAGCCAGCCACTGCGTCTGGCTGAATATACTTTTTCAAACTACACTTTAGTCTCACTACTCTCCAAGATTATGATACAGCTCTCCGAATGGGTATATCTCTTTGAGTGGTCTCTTTGAAGTGGTACATGTCTTTAAAGGGTAAAACCAGAGATTAAACTGACACTTAAGAATAGCACAATTCCCGCGGGGCACGGTGGCTCATGCTTGTAACCCCAGGACTTTGGGAGGTCGAGGCGGGTGGATCACCTGAGGTCAGGAGTTCGAGAGCAGCCTGACCGACATGGCGAAGCCCTGTCTCTACTAAAAATACAAAAATTCTAGCCAGGCATGGTGGCAGATGCCTGTAATCCCAGCTACTTGGGAGGCTGAGTCAGGAGAATCGCTTGAACCCGGGAGGAGGAGGTTACGGTGAGCCCAGATCACTCCACTCACTCCAGCCTGCACTCCAGCCTGGGCAACAAGAGTGAAACTCCGACTCAGGGAAGGAAAGAAAAAAAAAAAAAAAAGCACAATTCCAACCTCATTCTTGTTGGGGCGGGGGGAGGGGGAGGGAAGAGCAGCAGAAGTTAAGGTCTTCAGAATGTTCAGCATTACCTTGTAATACCCACAACATCAGTATATCCTTTCCTACCGTTTATAAAAAGTAGTAAAGTCTAAGGTGTATTTTTATTTTTTGCTATTAACTAAATCTTGCTGAAATTCCACATCTAATCTATTTCAAGACAAATGTAAGACCCCAACCAATCCTAAAAGAACAGCCTATATATTTATAAACAATATTTTCTAGTGACTATAAAAAATATATAAATTTAGATTGTTTTTGCTTAAAGTTGAAACCACAGATTAGATGTCAACTCTATTTCGCTGAAAGTTTAAGGAAAGGGGGTTTTCTATGAATGACCCTTTCTAACTACTCAAGAATCAATTCAAATGGTATACACACACATCTATAACTAAAAATTATTCATACACTTACATGTTTTTGAATCAACTTTTAAAAAAATTAAAGACAGGGTCTCACTCTGTTGCCTAGGCCAGATAAGAGTGCAATGGAGCGACCATAGCTCAACTGCAGCCAACACACCTGGCCTTAGTCAACTTTTTTTTTTTTGACAAGTTCTCACTCTGTTGCCCAGGCTGGAGCACAAATCTCACTACAACCTCTACCTCCTGGGCTCCAGCAATCCTCTCACCTAAGCACAGCACCACGCCCGGCTAATTTTTCTATTTTTAGTAGAGCTGGGGTTTTGACATATTGGCCAGGATGGTCTTGAACTCCTGGACTCAAGCCATTCACCTGCCTCGGCCTCCCAAAGTACTAGGATTACAGGGATGAGCCACTGCGTGCGGCCAGCTTAGTCAACTTTTTAATTGGTGAAGTTTAGCATCCTGTGATTTTTTGAGACAGGGTCTCACTTTGTCGCCCAGGGTGGAGTGCACTGGCGCAAACATGACTCACTGCACACTTCACCTCCCTGGTTCAAGCAATCGTCCCGCCTCAGCCCAAGTAGCTGGGACTACAGGTGTGCACCATCACATCGAGCTAATTTTCGTAGTTTTTGTAGAGACGGGGTTTTGCCATGTTGCCCAGGCTGGACTCAAGTAATGTACTTGCCTTGGCCTCCCAAAGTGCTTGGGATTACAGGCATGATCTACAGCACGCAGCCTAGCATCCTGATTGACATTAAATCAAATCTTGGTACTGGAAAGTAGCTTAATTGTTCAGATATGCCCTTGTATTAAGTTTTGTGAAGATTAGTGAGGATCTCTGCCATTATGAAAATAAAGATCCACTGAAGAGTAATGGAATAAGCTCTGCTTATCCACGCTAGCATCCCAACAGACATCTCATTTTAATAGTCCTCATCTTATAAAAGTGAGATTACAGATTAACATGTTAACCAAAGAAATTACTAAGGTGTTTTGTTAGGATAACATCACACAGAATTTGGTCTGAACAATGCAAAAGGCAAATACGATGTATAAAAACATATACAAACCGAGCATTTGTTATAGGTACTTTAGAATTAATTTCTATCCTCTTCCCGAGGATAACATCACACAGAATTTGGTCTAAACAATGTAAAAGGCAAATACGATGTAAAAAACATACACAGAGTATTTGTTATAGGTACTTTAGAATTCATTTCTATCCCCTCCCCAATAAACTTGTCCAATTACTTTGTTCTAAATTAATCCTTGGGAACGAGATCTTGATAGTAGCTTCAGTTCATCCAACCTAGGACACTTAGCCTTAGAGTATCTGTTCAAATTTGCATCAGTTGGTGAACTGATAGACCCTGAAATCTGAATTAAATCTAGAGTTCAAAGCCCAAATCTAGAGTTCAAAGCCCCTGCAAGAAAAACCAATTCTCACTCCCCCTTCAATTCTTTGCAAAACATCTCAATCATCTCTAGATGTAGTGTATTTTTTCTCAGTCATACATATCAAGACTTGATTAAAAGTTTGGATTTTGTTTAAAAAGGCTTTATTCATTTTTTGATCAGGGAAAAGGACAATCTCAATGTCAACTCGTCACCTAATCATAAATTTGAACTTACAGGATTCACTACCCTAGACACCGCACCTACTGACAACACAACTTAAAAATGAACTTACTTCCATTCCCTAAAGTTGCATGTTGAATGAACAGAATCCCTTCTAACAGCCAACATTGGTACTTGGCCTAAGTTTAAGAATAGCAAAACAGCAGCAAAAAAGAGGCCAAGAGCATTATAATGTGATAGCCCAGGAAGTAGAATCATTGTTAAGAAAGTTGCAGGCACCAAATTAAAAAAAAAAAGGGAGGGCTCATGAGCATAAGAAACTTACCAGTTTTGTGAGATCACCCGTTGTGTGAGATCAACTACTCTGCCTGTGAACACGTATGCCAATCCCAGTAAATAACACTGAGGCCAAGGTCCCAAAATCCAACTACACTGAATGCAAAATCCAAAGCTTTTTATTATTCCAGGTCCTCTGAAACCTGGATATAAAACGGATTCTTTTCAATGCACCCAGAGGGTCCACTGTAATGACTCAGTCACATTTGTAATGACTTAGTCACATTTGTAATGACTTTGTCATAACCAAGATACCTTTTCCACTATTCCTTTCTGAATATGTAAATATTTAACTACTTAGTTCATGCACTGTGTCAAAAACTAGATTTACTATCAAGACTTTTTCTAAACTCACAGAGCATTAACAGCTAATACAACTTCCTCAGGATGCCCAAACAGAAAACATTTTGTTCAATCTTGTGGCGGCTCTGAGAAAACACAACTAAATCTTATTTTGCCACTATTTTAATTTTTCGACCAAACTCATACCTTTCTACCAAAATCCTTGAGTTGTAACTACTTCCAATGCTCTTAAACCATAGCTCCTACCAGTTTTACAGTGCTCCTTTTGTATCTGAACTTTTATCAAGAATTACTCATTGTGTTATGATTACAAAGCTTTTTCTAGGTGACCACTGATTAAAGCCAAAGTAATCAGCAATTCAAAAATGGCTTTCCAGAGACAGGAACAAAGTAAAAGGAGCTACTAACAATTTTATTACAATCCAGAAGAAATATGGTCTACTAGAAAGCTTCTACTAATCACAACACTTATGTCTTCCTTTCAGGACAGTCTTCAGATAACCAGAAGGGAAAGAACATTGTTCAAAGGTGTGGTAGAAATCTCAGTTACAGGGAGAAGATGAAGCCTTAAGAGCATAAAATACACCTACAAATTGGAGAAGAGGGTGACGCTGGCTGGCTATTTATAAAGGACCACAGTTTCTCTGTATGGACCAATACTCTACAAAATCAACTGTGCCTTAATTATTGCTTATTTTAAATTACATTTTTTACAGAGCTATGTAGTACCTGACGCAGAAAAGCAATCACATAAGGAAGCATTTATTTGAGGTTTAACATGAAATGATACAAATAAAATGTGTATAAACAAATCCACATTGAGTCATAACACAGATAGCAAAGGACAAAGTAAAAACAAAGAAAACTAATTGGCAGCTATATACAGTTGGACACAATGGTGTCTTGTACACTAGAAAGTCTTTTACAAAATAATCATCTTAGATCAACAGAAGACCAATCTTCAATGTCGTCCTGCAAGATGGGTTACTTTAACATCTCCTCCTAAAAACAAAAACAAAATACCAGTTAGATTTGTGCAACTCTGACAAGCTTTTAAAGGTCCACTTTCATGAATTGTTTTAAGTCCTCACTTTATTTTCTTCAATAATTAAAGATCATATGCATATTTATTGGTAAAATACAGTTTGGGTAGTCAATAAACTCACCCTGGAGTTCCCAAATGACATTAAATTCAAATCTATTCAGGAAAGAATCTGGGAATACAACCTTCCCATATTCAGAGGTTCAACTATGCTAGATTAAGGTCTACTAGAAGCATCTCTAGTAACCCAAGTAAAATGCTATCACAAACACCAATTTCTAATAAGTTTATTACAAGAACATAAATTGATCTGTGCATATGATCTTTAATTTATATCCCAGATTTAAAAGTTCTTGTTTTGGTTTGTAGATTTCACTATTAGCTATAAAAAGAAAAAGCAAGCATTAAATCTTAAAAGAATGAACACTTAAAATGAGGCTCCACAATTGAAATACAACACTAAACAGAAGACCAAAATGATTAAGCTGTAAAAAGGCATTTATGTACTTTAACTCCTGTAAAAAACCATTTAAGTTAAGTTTAGACACTTAATCTCCAAAAAGATTAAAAATGAAGCCAAAGTCTGAAGTTTTCCACTTTAATCTTTACGCTGGTACATGAAGTTGGAAGAGACCATACCACAGGACAGCGTTTTCTGGTGTATGCCTTGCGCTCTGCCCGCAACGTGCGACCCCCAGAGATAGACGTGGTCAGGGTGACACACGGCCTGCAATGAAGTTCCCGCTGGCGGGTACAAACAAGGTATAATGTCAGAGTTAGAAGACAACATTCTTGTTTTCCTTAAGTTGTACCCATTTCAGTACTTTACCTGTTAATAGTTCTAAAATGTTTAATTATTCCTCTAGACCACCTGGTACACAAAAGCAAACAGAAAAACTCTTAAGTTTTTCTGCAATACTAAAGAAAGTGAGATAAGACTTTAAAGTTAAAGATCTATAGACACTTTAGGCAAAACAGGCTCATAAAGCAATTAAAAAATCAACAATTTAGTAAAAACAGGCTACATAGTATTTTGTTTTTACGTTTCATTTGTCTATTGATCTTTAAATTAAATTAGACATTTCTACTGTTTTCCTGTACTCTTATACACACCTGTTTTCTCCAATGTTCTCCTTTAGTATGGCTGGTAATTGTTTTGGTGATTGCCACCCCCTCGAGATGCCTTGCCATAAGTGCTCTGTTGGCCTATTTTGAAAACACAGAATTCTCATTAAGATAGTTTTCTACAAAACTTTCTTTACAAACACAAACTATTAAATCTACAAATCTTTGCATGCTAAATAAAAAGTATTAAGATATTTTAGCACCCATTAGATGCTACTCATAAATCATACATCCTAGTTCATTTATAACCACCAGTCTATGTTAGTATAATCATCCTATGATTGTAACATGCCTCAAACACTTAACTCCGAACACTTTAATGGAAAGCCCATACACACAATTTCAGAACAGGATTGTATGTTAACAATGAATTTTAATACCACTGCTTTATAAAATTAAGTTAAATATTCTTACCACTGTAGTCTGCATATCCCTGTCCATATCCATAGTTCCCATAGTTATACCCAGTATAATCATATCCGCCATAGCCACTATAGTTTTGATCACCACCATAGGCACTATTGTAATTTCCATATCCTTGATCATAATAGTTATTAAATCCTTGGTTCCAGTTTTGGCCCTGACCTGAAACAATGCACAATGATTGTTAGGAAACAACTTCTGACCCCCAATTCTAACATAAAATGATGCGTTCTTGTCTCTCACTCTGCAAATCTTAAAGGGCAGAATGGACATATATATTGCTATCTGCTTGAAAAACTATTTTTCCAGCTGTTATAAAAAAGGAGGCAGAAAGTCCAATTGTGCCAGTATCAAACTTCCTAAACTTAATGGAAAATCATTCAATTTTCCATTAAAGCCGAAGACAGGTACACTGTTCTGTTTAAAACAAGGACTCCTGCCCAAGAAAACCTATCACACCACGGTGTATCATGTAATGGTACACTTTTCCTATCAGTGATGACACTAATTGTCAAAGTGGCCACACTTTTAACAGTTTTTTGAAACCAGTGAGCTCACAACAAAAAACCACCACACACAACCTCCACTAAGCTGAACAGTCCCCCCTCCGCTGGAATGGTTTTAAGTTTAAAGTTTTGCTTTGGTACAGGACTACTCATATTCAGCAGTATACAGCTTAAATAAACCACGGAGTCATATTTCAAGAATTAAGTCTCACCTCGGCCACGACCCCTCGTACCACCTCGTCCACCAGCTGCAGCACCTCTTCCACCTTTTTGTTGTTGCTGTTGCTGCCTATATACCTCTTTGGGTTGTGCAACTTTGATTTCACACTATAAACAAAAAACATGAAAGTATAATTTTTACCGAAGTTCTAAAATTAAATCATTTTATTTTTCTCCACATCAAGAAATTATTTCAATTATTTAAATTTTCATTTAAAGTGCTTAAATGGCTTTACCTTCCCAGAACCAATTTGATGGTATCTGCTTTCTAACAATTTTTTTACTGGCTCTTCATCAGTATATGTGATAAAACAAAATCCTCTTCTTTCATTTGTTTTTGTATCCATGGGAAGTTCAATATTTTCAATCTGAAATCGAGATGCACACTCAACGTCATCCCATAATTGTAAAACGTTACAGTGTCAGAATGCCAAAGGCCTTTTCAGGCTTCAACTTAAACATGTTATTCTTATCGGGTGACTTCTATACAGACATCACTGCTTTATGATCAACATCAGCCTACAGTGATTTGTTGTATATTTGAAGCATTGAGAGAAATTAATATTATTTTGTACCCAAAGATGCCACTAGTTAACAAGTCCAAACACTGACCACATTTAAGTGCCCATGTTTTAGCTAAATTAGATAGTTGGGTTTCCATCAGAGCAGCAATGAAATCAAGGTACAGTCACTGGAAGCGACTTGAGCAGTCATTTAATTCTACTCTTACAGGAAACATGAATCTGCCCTGCATAAATCGGACAAGGATTGAACATTTTATAAACACATCAAGCTTAACATGTGTAAACATAATCACACACCTCTCCAAAGGCTCCAAAATATTCTTTAATTTGTTCTTCAGAAGTATCCGGGCTCAATCCACCCACAAAAACCTTTTTGGGAGGTTCTTTCCCTTTTAAAGCTTTGGCCCTTTTGGGATCTATCAATTTGCCATCCAGTTTGTGTTCTTTCAGTTCCAAAACCTACAAGACAGATTTATTTAATCTGACAGCACCATATAACCCCCAGAAAAATTTGCAAAACACCACAAAAGCAGCACAATGCAAAACATAGTTCCTACCTTATCAACACTAGCAGCATCTTTGAAAAGCACAAATCCAAATCCTCTTGATCTCCCAGTGACTGGATCTGTTTTAATTGTGCAGTCTACAACTTCCCCAAATCGAGACAAGTACTCTGTCAGATCTTTTTTGCTTGTATCCCAGCTCAAGCCTCCAATAAACATTTTACTAGAAATAAAAGTGTTTTTAAAAAAAATTAACAATAACTCAAATGATCCTTCAGTTCTGGAATTAAATCGTGAAATAAAAACAGGGACATTTACCCCCTAAGTGTAGGCAATTTAATTCATGTTTACATTTAATCTATGTCACACAAAAATCCCAATATCCCAACGAAGTTACTCAAACCAGCGGACAGCTCACTGTCCGCACTACATAAAGCAAAGCTCAAAAGAGACCAATAAAATACAGTAAAGGTTCTGCCCAGATTCCTTTAGGTAGAAGGCACAACTTCCTAGATGAATCCCTCACATCTTATCTTACTTAGGTCCATCTTCGTTCTCAGCTGTCAAGCCAACGTTCCACCCAGAGAACTCATCAATCATAACACGTTTTGTGAATCTGGGTACCAGTCGCCTGCTTGTGCCCCAACTCAGTCCTCTAAAACTCTTCCCAGGAAAACCGCGCCGAGTGGTAACAGAGACACAATGAAGAGGCGGCGGCAGCTGCAGCGTGCAGCGCTGGGAGGCCGGCCCCTCCCCCCCGGGTCCCACGCGGCGCCTGCGCGCTCGGGACACAGACGCCGCCGCCCTCCTCCTCCAACCCCTCCGCCCTTCCCCCACTCTTCCCGGGTCTCTCCAGTCACCCCCTCGATCTCTTACTTTCCTCTTCCCTCCAATCTAGTGGGGCCCAGAAGGCACGCGGGGAATCGACTCTGAGAAAGAATGGGGGCAGCGCGCGGCTCACGAGGAACGAAGGGCGCGTGCGGCGCGCTGGGGGAGGGGGAGCGGGGGAAGAAGCGTGCGGTACCCGTCATCCTGCTGATTCTTGCTCGCGTTGATCTTGGATCCCTCTGCGAATTCCTCTATATTGCTGTACTCGTTCATATCCTCCATAGTGACGGAGCTGTCGGCAGGGGGGTGCTGGCGCGCAGTCCGGGTCGCGGCAGCAGCGGCGGCGGAGCGTTGTATGGAGCTGGATTTAAAATGGCGGCGGAAGAGATCCGGGCGCCGCCTGCGCCCTCCCTTTATAGCCGCCCCGCCCGCCAATCGGGAGGGCTGCTGGGCGGTGACGTGGCGCTGGGCCCGGCGCGCCCCCTGCCGGGCGGAGCTGGGAGCGAGCGAAGGGAGGAGCGGGGCTAGCTGCCGCGGCGGCCGCGGCCGCCAATGGGAGAGGCTGCGGGAGGCTAAAGTAGCGGGAGCGGAGGGGAACAATGGCGGCGGCACATGGGAAAGCCTGGGCGGGACCTCCATCGCGGCCCTCCCGGCAAGGAGAGAGGCCACGCGTGAGGGGACGCGGGCTTGGGAGAAGAGAAGAATCAGAAGAGAAAAACGAAGGGGCGTAAATTCCTGGGGTCAGCAGTCCCGAGCAGAGCCGACGCAGGGCCACAGTCCCTCTTGCCTTGGGAGCCTTTGTCTCTGGCGTCCGGTCCAGCCCACTCCTACCAAAAAGCCGTCAACCCCGCCTTTTTCTGCCCTCGGTTCGCCAGTGCGGAGCCGCTGCGGCGGCCGCTGCTACCGACTAGCACCGCGGCCAGTCTGCTCCGGAAAAAGGCGGACTGCGCCCGGCGCTGGCGACTGAGGCGGCGAGCGCGCTCGCCCGCCGCGCGCACGCGTGTTTTGTCCTCGAGCTGGCAGGAACCAGCCGAACAGGAAGCGGGCGCGCGACGGCTCCTCCGGGCAGCGCAGCGCGGGCGCCTCTTCCACTGTGACCACGGGCGCGCGGGCCAAGGGGGCGCGGCGGGGCCTCCCGGGCTGATCGGCCGAAGCCCGGGCCCCGCGCGGCCTCTGGCGGGCTGACGCCGGGAGGAGGGGCGGGGGCTGGCCAGATGACTGTATCTATGCAAAGGCGGAGGCGGTGGGCGGGGAGGGGGCTGGATTCAGTAGAGGGCAAGGGGCACTCACATCCCCGGCGCGCCACTCGCGGGGCTCCTTTCTGCACGTGCCCCGGGCCTCTCCCGCTCGCTCAACCTGTCTGCGGAGGGCGCGCTCTCGCGCACCCTGCTCCCGCGTTCGCTTCTTTGTTCCCGCCCACGCGAGGCCCATTTTGACGGATCCAGTTCGAGGCCTGACGGCGGCCAATCGGCGCTGGCGCCTTCACCCTCCCCGCCCCGCCGAACCCGTCAAGGGCCGCCCCTTTTCCTGCCCACGTGGTCTCGGGCTCCTGCCCCGTCCTGCTCACGAGTTCAGGGCTCCTGGGCGGCCGCCTTTTCCAGTTCCAGGTGTGCAGAAGTGTCCTCTCCCCACGCGCGGCGGGCTGCACTTGGTCGCTGGCTCCGAGATCGCGCGGGGCCGCCGGAAGCCCAAGACGGTACCGGGGGCCGCAGCCGCAGCCGGCGCCGCCCTCCGCCCTCCCCAACAGCAGGCCGAGTCCCGTAGCATCCGGTAGGGAAATGGTCGTGCTTTCGGTCCCCGCCGAAGTCACCGTGATCCTGTTAGATATCGAAGGTACCACAACCCCGATTGCTTTCGTGAAGGTGAGGGGCGGAAGGGAGCGGGGATGTTACTTTTCCTTAAAAACAGTTATTATTTTTTCTAAGTATTTCAGGCCTTGCATTGGAGACGAGGGTTAGGAGAGGCGGTGTGGCTGCCTCTTGTGTGGAATGGGGAGGAAGGAGAGAAAGCCTGCGGTGGGTTGCGGGGATGCTTTTCCTCGCGACACTAGCTTCTCCCTCCCCCGCCCTTGCGCTTGGTTGGATCCAGATGGGTGGGAAGGGATGGAAGTTGACGCTAAAAATCACCGAAGGGCAGGTAAGCCGGGGCGGGGTGTGACGGTGCGGGCCTCGCCACCCGGCAGGTGTGCACCCGGTCGCTTCCGCAGGTGAGCGCAGCCTTTCTGCTCCGTCGGGCCTGGTGTGGCAGCGGCAGCGATTTAATGGTCCTTAAAGCTTCCGATCTCAAAATGGAAAGACTGAAGTGTCAAGATGACTTTTCAGGTGGCCCTGGTGTCGGGCAATCAAGGTTCCTCTTCGCCCCTTCCCACTCTTGCTGTTAGTGGCCAAACTGCACAGTGTATTATTTTACTCTGTTAGGCGCTGTGGTCCATAGCGCTGATTTTTTGAGCTATAGGACACGTCTAGATTCCGTTCACTTTCCTCAGAAAACCACAGAAGCTTGAAGCTCTTATCCAGAGCATTCCTTCTAGGATGTCACTGTGAACCAGCACTTGTCTGCACCTCAGCTTGCAACTTAGCGGATTCCTTCTTTATTCTTTGTCTGTTAGAATAAGCAAATATGAAATGTTACTTTAATTTTTGAAAGAATTCCTCGGGCCTTGTCTTTTTATTTGGCTCCCTGAGGTTTAAGAATTCATTGCAGATACAAGTACTTCTTAGAGGTGCTTGCATGCACAATAATAGTCGAGATATACAAAGTATATTACCAAGTAGGAAAAATCCATCTTCCAAGAAACTGAGCAGCTTGGGTTTTAAATTCTATTTTAGTTTCCATTTTTAAAAAAAATTATCTGTGAATAAGGCTTTTTTTTTTTTTTCTTTGAGAGTCTCACTCTGTTCCCAGGCTGGAGTGGAGTGGAGTGGTGCAATCACAGCTCACTGCAGCCTCTACCTCCTTGGGCTTAAGGCATCCTCCTGCCCCAGCCTCTCGAGTAGTTGGGACTGAAGGGAGAGCCACCATGCCTGGCTAATTTTTGTATTTTTTGTAGAGACGGGGTTTCGCCATATTGCCCAGGCTAGTCTGGAATTCTTGGCCTCCCAAAGTGCTGAGATTACAGGCATGAGCCAAGGCGCCTGGCCTGAATGAGTTTCTTGATGTAGGTTATAATATAAAATCCATGTACACTTTTAGGACACCAAACATAACAACCTTTAAAATTCTTTTAGAAGAATCACAGTACCTTGACATCTTAGCATAGGTTCAGAAGAAATCGAGTTTAGCATTTTCTCCACGGTTTTTGTTTTTGTTTTGAGGCGGAGTCTCGCTCTGTTGCCCAGGCTGGAGTGCAGTGGTGTGAGCTCAGCTCACTGCAACCTCTGCCTCCCAGCTTCAAGCGATTCTTCTGTCGCAGCCTCTCCAGTAGCTGGGATTACAGACATGTGCCACCACACCCAGCTAATTTTTATATTTTTAGTAGAAGAGGGTTTCACCAGGCTGGTCTCAAACTCCTGACCTCAAGTGATTCACCCACCTCAGCCTCCCAAAGTGCTGGAATTACAGGCGTGAACCATGGCACCCGGCCTCTTCCCCACGTTTTGTTTTGTTTTGTTTTGTTTTGTTTGAGACAGAGTCTTGTTCTGTCTCCCAGGCTGGAATACAGTGGTGCAACCTCTGCTTCCGGGGTTCAAGCGATTCTGGTGCCTCAGCCTTCCGAGTAGCTGAGATTACAGACGCGCACCACCACGCCCGGCTAATTTTTGTATTTTTAGTTGACCAGGCTGGTCTGACCTCAGGTAATCCTCCCGTGTCGGCCTCCCAAAGTGCTGGGATTATAGGCGCGAGCCACCGCGCCTGACCTTCCCCCACGTTTTTAATCACACCAGAGACCTCTGCGGAAAATTTCAGGACAAATACTGATGATTGATTAATTTCCTTTTTTTTTGGATTGTGACAGAGTAACCGCTTTCTTGGTTTTCAGAGAAAAAAGGAGTCCTCATTTTTGTAATTTATAGTTAACAGCTCACTCGTTCCACTCTGGCTCTCTCTTGCTTTCTGCGGTCATCAGGAGACCAAGGATAAGGACAGGAGAGGTAGTGATGTGGCATTAGATCATTAGATACTACCGTTTTCTGAAGGTAGATTTGGGGAGTAAGAAACCTCATACAAAATCAATTTTGCAACAAAACATAATACCCCTCCCCCACCTTTTTCCCCAAGTGTGTCTTCTGCTAGATGACATTATGAGCCACTTCTTGGAATCTTTGTGTCTGTGGCAGACTTATTCTGAAATCCAAAAATAAAAATGTCTTAGTTGCCTAAATAAATTTTTCTGAATTTGACGCTAGGCAATGTGCAATTTCAATGCAGGCTGCAAAAGAATGATTTAGGGATCTTGTTTAAAGGATAATTTCTTGTGCCCTGTCCTATAATAATATCTATTGTTATTAATATTGTTAATCTATTATAATCTAATCTATTATTATAATTTGTTAGACATGAATTTATCAAAACCATTTTTCCTAAAAGTATGTTTAAAAGAAAGTTAGGTCTGTGTGGATGTTTATGGTAATTATGTAAAAAAGGATTCCATTAAATGCACTTTTGGGAAATGCTAGTTAGAATGAGTTCAAATAGATTTCTTTATTGCAAGACTTCTCAGAACCTTCGGTATCATACATATATATACACACATACACACTTTGTGAGATTTCAAGAGAGTGACATTTCACAAATCTACTTGAACAAAAAACTTTTAGTAGAGTATCTCAGTGACTAATCTTTTAAACACCTTTTAAAGAGATGCTGAGTTACATTCTTGAATCTGAGCACGGAAAGGTTGAGCATGGGAGTTGAAAGATAATCTGCTTGGAGCTTTAAAGTCAGAGTAGGTGTGTGAACTTGTAGCCCTTCCTTCTGTGGAATGATGGAAGGAAACATTGAGTACTGTATACGTGCAGTACTCAATCCTTGACTCATTCTAAAAGACCATGAGGTGTATGTACTGTCTACACTTTACTTAGGATGAAACAAAGCCTCTGAAAAGTTGAACAAGATGCCTGGGATTTGAACTCAGATTGTCTTATTCATAAAAACTCTTATTTTTTCCATTACTGCACTCAGCCTTGGAAATGGGATGCTACTGTTTGTCCTGTCTCCTTTGCTTGGTGGTTGTGTATGTTAAATGACACAGTTAGTATGAGAGTTCTTTAATCAATGTGAAGTACTGTGCTATAAAAGTATATGGTAACAAGCCAGGTACGGTGGCTCAGGCATGTAATCCCAGCACTTTGGGACGCCGAAGCAGGTGGATCTCTTGAGGTCAGGAGTTCGAGGCCAGCCTGGCCAACATGGTGAAAGCCAGTCTCTACTAAAAATACAAAAAGTAGGCCAGGCATGGTGGCTCATAATCCCAGCACTTTGGGAGGCCGAGACAGGTGGATCACCTGAGGTCAGGAGTTTGAGACCAGCCTGGTCAACATGGTGAAACCCCGTCTCTACTAAAAATACAAAAATTAGCCGGGCATGGTGGTGGGCACCTGTAATCCCAGCTACTCAGGAAGCTGAGGCAGAAGAATCACTTGAACCCAGGAGGTGGAGGTTGCAGTGAGCCGAGATTGTACCACTGCCTTCCAGCCTGGGCAACAGAGGAAGACGCTGTCTCAAAAAAAGAAAAGAAAAGAAAAAAAGGAATAAATAATTCAAAAATTAGCTGGGCATGGTGGCGCACACCTGTAATCCCAGCTACTGGGGAGGCTGAGGTGGGAGAATCGCTTGTACCTGGGAGGCGGAGGTTGCAGTGAGCCGAGATCGTGCCAGTGCACTCCAACCTGAGTGACAGAGCGAGACTGTCTTTAAAAAAAAAAAAAAGTATATGGTAACAAATTTCAGTTTATAGCATGTCTTTGTGTCTTGCCTGAGGATCATCAAAATTTGTTGGGAGTAGAGCTGCAGCAGAGCCCAGTTTTCCTTAGATGTTCCCACCGCATCTAAATCCACCGCCACCATCCCTGCACTTTACCGCAGGACACATACCTCTGGTGTTTGTTCTTTTTTGTCTTTGTTTTTCTGAAGCAGGGTCAGGCTGTGTCACCCAGGCTGGAGTACAGTGGCACGATCACAGCTCACCGCAACCTCGACCTCTCAGGCTTAAGCAATCCTCCTACCTCAGTCTCCTGAGTAGCTGGGACCACGAGTGTGCACCACCATGCCTAGCTAGCTTATTTTTATTTTTTATAAAGATGGGGTTTCACAGTGTTGCCCAGGCTGTTCTCAAACTCCTGGACTCAAACAGTCCTCCCATCACGGCTTCCCAGAGTGCTGGGATTATAGGCATGTGCCACCATGTCCAGCTAATTTTTAAAATTTTTTGCAGAGATGGGGTCTCACTGGGTTGTCCAGGCTGGTAAAGCATTTTTAGAAATAGTGAATTCATTCTTGATTATTTAACAGTCCTCTTTATGTCCTCTTATAATGTATTTTAGAAGATAATAATTGGGGAGTGTTGCAGTTAACATCTTTCTTATGAAAACTGCTATATTAAATTATGGTCTTTTTAGGAAGAGAGCTTTAAAGTCTGATAGTTATCTCCCAACTTTGGTTAAACATCCATTTGATAAGTAGTATTACTTCTATTATTGCCAGCATTGAGAAGTGTAGGATGCGCACTCTGCCTGCACAATGAAACAGCTAGAAGACAGCCTACAAGGAATGGCACACTGGAAGCATTCTTCTACCTGTGCTATTTATTATTGACACCAGTAACTGTAATAGGGTCTCTTTCCCTATCTTCATTCAGTCTACGGATTTAGGCTTTTTCATCCGCAGGGATGGGCTACTAGGATATGCTTTGTTTATAAAGGTGGTGATGAAGGTTAAATAAGATGGAATTCAAAAGCCTTTGAAAATTACGAAGTCCTATAGAAACACTGATTATAATGCAGGAAGTGTCAGACTGGAGGAAATAGAAAGTGCTTATGAAGGAAGGATTGATAAGGAAAAGAGGGATCTTACATTTCCTGAAACCCACCATGCTCCCAGTTACGTCTACCATGGTTACTCCCAGTGACTTCTGCTCCTTATTGCCCTACCCAGAAATATGTTAAAAATAAGACGCAGGATATTGTTGATCTCTAAGAATTTGTGGAAGCACTGGAATGGCAGATAAGTAGTTGTTGATGGGTTGATAAACAACTGCCCCCCTCTCCCCAAACTTTTCTACTGCTTAGGGCAGTGTTTCCCAGCTACATTCATGGTAGTACGTGAGAGGATTTTTGTTGACTCAGCTTGAAACAAGGTGAGGAGTCTTTGGAGAATCACTGTCTTGCGTATATCAAGAGGTGGATGGAGGCTAGCCTTAGCCTTGGTGGCTCACACTTGTAATCCTAGCACTTTGGAAGGCCAAGGTGAGAGGATTGCTTGAACCTAGGAGTTCAAGACCAGCCTGCGCAATGTAGCATGACCTCGTCTCTACTAAAAATAAAAAAAGTTAGCCAGGTGTAGTGGCATGTGCCTGTGATCCCAGCTACTCAGGAGGCTGAGGTAGAAGGATCATTTGAGCCCAGGAGGTCAAGGCTGCAGTAAGCCATGATCGTGCCACTGCAGTCCAGCCTGGATGACAAAGCAAGACCCTGTCTCAAAAAAAAAAAAAAAAAATGGTGGATAGAAAGCACCTCTGGCCTCTGGGAGGAAGCTGTCCCACCTAGCTGGGAGGGACCTCACCTAGGATTCAGGAGACCTGGGCTGCCTACCACATGAGCCTTAGACAATCTGCTCACCCAGCCACCTGTTAGTTCCCTAAAGCTGGGACTGTCATGTTCATCCTGCTCTCACACAGAATATGTCATCGTCGTCATCATCATCATCATCATCCTATCGTTGTTGGAACCCAAAGAATCTGCATTAAGTAAATAATTCAGTATGGGCATGGTGGCTCACCCCTGTAATCCGAACACTTTGGGAGGCAAAGGTTGGAGGATCACTTGAGGCTAGGAGTTTCAGACCAGCCTGGGCAACATAGCAAGACCCTGTCTTAAAAAAAAATTATAAAAAAAGAAAGCACCTCTCACTTTGATTTCTGGTTCCTTATTTTTCTAGAACCTTCAGTATTGTGGCATTAGCATAATCTTTCCAGCCTAATCAATCCTTCTTTCCTTTCCCTCACATTTAATTGAATACCTGTCATGTTCCAGGATATGGTAGGGATCCAGAGTCCTTAAGACCCAGCTGTCACCCTCAGGTTCCTCAGGGAACCTAGAAAGGAAGACAGTTACATAAATAGGTCGCCTTTGCATAATCAAAGTCCTCTGTAGTCTCTCACTGGCTGTGAGATGAGAGTTCAACAAATTGGGTTTTCCAACTTTCTATCCCTCTCTTTACACTTTACATAGCTGAACATGCACATTCCAATCATGCCCTTTCTTGCTGCCACCATTCTTCCAGCTTGGAATGTCATACCTTTTCGTCTCCAAGTGTGGGTCCCATGCACTCATTAACTTAAAAAAAAATTACTTATTGTGCTAAGCTGTGGGAATATGGAAGTAAGAGCTACCTCTTCTTGTAAAGGACCTATTTAAGCAGGAATTTCAAAGTCCTTTCTCTTCGTCCTCTGAACTCATTGTCAGTACCATGTGTAGTATTTGCTACTGGAGCCAATAGCTGACTTGTGATGTTGGATGTGTGTCCTCTTTTTCAAGCTGTGTGGAAGGCTCCTCAAGGGCAGAGACCAGAGCCTCACACAGTGCTTACACATCAGGCATGCTGTAACATGCTGGGTGATGGTGATATGCATTCCGGAATGGGTGTGGGAGGGACTGGGATTCAGTTTCTTCCATACTCTGCAATCCTTGCTATTTCAGATTTCCTCAAGGTGGTACTCTATTATATTTGAACAATTTAACTGAAAGTGTTTCTAGAGTGGCATTAGAATTCATTGACTCAACATTTCCAAAACCTACAAGTTATAGAGGATGAAACCAGCTGATAATGGAAATTAAATGTCATAAAAGAGAAAATTTTATTAACAAAATTAAGATAAAAAGTGAAATATGTTATTTATAGAAACTTGCATCTGTTAATGTAAGACTAGAGGAAAGGTTTTTCTACCCCCCCAAATATTCTTCCTAGAAAATTAGTTCGCCCTGATTATAAAATTGCAGACAAAGAAGAGTATGATATAGAGAGTGAAAGCCCTGATATGCTCCTGCCATCCAGAGGTGACCATTAAGAGTTTGGTGAATATTCCTTCTGTTTTTTTCCCTAGGTACACAGTAAAGTCATACAGATCTTTGAAAGATATGTAGTCAGACTTATTGAGTAAAAGGGGTTGGGCATGGTGGCTCACACCTGTAATCCCAGCACTTTGGAAGGCCATGGCAAGGAGATTACTTGAGTCCAGGAGTTCAAGACCAGCCTGGGCAACATAGGGAGACCCCATCTCTACAAAAAATAAAAAATTGGCTGGACATGGTGATGTGCACCTGTAATCCCAGCTACTCAGGAGGCTGAGGTGGGAGGATCACTTGAGCCCAGGAGGTAGAGACTGTGGTGAGGTGTGATTGTGCCACTGCACTGCATGCAGCCTGGGTGACAGAGCTGGAATGCAGTGGCGTGATCGAAAAAATAACAATTTTTAAAAGGGGCACTGATTTTAAGCTATAACCCCTATATTTTAAATACATAGGCTGGATTTTATCTTGCTCATACAGACTTTTAAAATGATACCCTGTGTTTAGCCCTGAAAAGTGCTTACTTCTTCTTTGTCTGATGGGTCTTAAAATTTTCTATCCTTGCAGCTTACCCTGTGTTACCACTCCACTAAAGAAAACAAAGTATTCTTTTTTACAATAAAAGGTTATTTTTATATGAAACTTTGAATTTCACATTTATCAACTCATTTGATTTTCAAAACTGGTTTTGTTGGAGGTGCAGGTCAGAAGAGGAGTGGAAACCAACCTGCCCTAATCCTATTGCACCCATTTTCCCATCAGCTCACTAAAGAGTCGTGTGGAAAGTTGGTAGCTTTATCCTCAGAGGCCCTCCTGGATCCTCTCTGGACCTTTCCCAGGTGATACCATTTCAGGAAAATGGGTTTCTTTTCAAAGACAGAATGTCTTTAGGACAGAAAGGGGTTGTTTGCCTTCTAGGTATGTGCATGAGGGGTTCATTTCTTAGCTTGATTTTCTTTCCAGTGATTCATGATGTGACCTTCTAACAAGTTCCTTTTCTTAAGTCTAAAAAGTGTGGACCTGGTACCCCTTTACTGAGTAAAGAGAAACTAAGGCATGCGGTTTGGAAACTAATGGTAATTTCAGCATTGAGACCTTGGTGGGACTTTGGAGCTCACAATCAGACCAGTGTTTGACAGTTAAGCTTGTGTATACTTACTCCAGCTCTCTCTGGACTGGTCTTGTATGGGTCCAAGTCGTTGTAAGTTCAGGAAGGTAATTAGATCCCTTTGATGGGGGTAAAGAGTGGGATCTTTACCCCCGATCTGATACTGGGGAGATTCCAGGCATCTGACTCTATAAACTCAAAAAGAAAGACCTGATTGGTAAACTATAATCTCAGTTTGTTAATTTGTACTTAACCTTTATGTGCCTCTGAAAAATGGAGGAAGTAGTAGCACCAATTTCACAGGGTTATTATGAAGATTAAAATGACATTATCAGTAAGTTGAGTAAATTTTGAGTGCTTGGTGGTGGCAGTGGTGAGAAGTGATTGGATCTGAATATATTTTGAAGGTAGAGCTGATGGGATTTGCTGATGGATTGGTTGGATGTGGAGTTTGAGAGAAAGAGGAGTCAAAGATGACTCTAAGGTTTTTGGCCTGAGCATCTGGAAGGATGGTTCTGTCATTTACTGTGATGTGGAGATGTAGGGGGAGGAGGAGGATTAAGGGATGGAATCAAGAGTTTGGTTTCAGATGTGTTTAGTTTGAGATACTGAATAGACATGCAAGTGGGGATATTGGGTAGGCATTTGGAAAAGGTCCAAGCTAAAGGTAAGGATTTGGGGATCATTAGTATAAATGGTATTTAAAGTCATGGAATTAGGTAAGATCACAAAGGAGTGATTATAGATAGAAAAGAGAAGTGTTTGTCATAGTAAGTGCTCAGTAAATGTTGGCAGTTACTCCCATTACTATAACTACTTGAATTATTATTGCTGATACTTTATAGGAAATGTTACAGAACTACTGGGTGAACCATAATCTCTCATTTTCTTTGTATGAAACCTCTTTGGGGAATCAAAGCTATATTAGAAATTTCCATAGAGAATATGCTGTCAAGATCCAGGGAGTTAGATGATCCTGGTGAGTAGTGCTCCTTGAAGTCATTCACCCGTGAGAGCTGGATGGCTTCAGGTGTTGGGATTTGATAGGCCTGGGTTTGAGTCCTGGCTTTACTCTGCACCAGCAGCGAAACCTCTTTGAACCTCAGTGTCTTCCTCTATGAAAGAAGGCTTACTTTGCAGGGATGTTAGGCAGATTCAAGGAGATGAATGTGAATGCCTTCCTTTCCCCTCCACTGTTAAGGACTAGGACTCTGGGCCAGTCAAGTTCCCTTTCTGGAACTCATTGGAGATACTCTGTTTCTTTTGTGCTGCTTCTTAAAACCTTACTCCAATTACTAGCCCTCTTGTACTGATAACAATCCCTTGTTCAGTGTGATTCATTGCACTTAATTAGATAACAGTGTATCTTTTGTTAATTATAATTTAATCTCCTTAATGGGGCTATCTTTTGTCTTATCAGCACCACATTGATTAATTCATTTTGAATGCACATGTGAAATCTGATGTTCATTCCTAAGCTTTCAGTTTTCAACCTACACCCCTTGTATGGGTCCAGCCCTGTTTACTCCCATGAAGACGAGGACAGTAGGATTTTAATTCCTGAGACCATGTGGCCCCATGTGGCAGCCAGAACACAGAAACTTCTTGATAGCTCCTACTGTGGTCTTCAGGAAGCCTTTTTGAAGAGCAATTCTAATACCACAACTGCTGAAACTATCTGGCAGATGGCATGGACCACTCCAAAAAGTAGCAATTCTCGTTGTTAGAAGTATTTAAACAAAGCTTGGTGTATTAGTCTGTTCTCATGCTGCTAATAAAGACATACCTGAGACTGAGTAGTTGATAAAGGAAAGAGGTATAATGGACTTACAGTTCCACATGGCTGGGGAGGCCTCACAATCATGGTGGAAGAAGAAGGAAGAGCAAAGGGATATTTTATATGGTGGCAGGCAAGAGGGCATGTTCAAGGGAGCTCCCCTTTATAAAACCATCAGGTTGTCAGGTGTGGTGGCTCATGCCTGTAATCCCAGCTGTTTGGGAGGCCAAGGTGGGCAGATCACGAGGTCAGGAGATCGAGACCATCCTGTTTAACACGGTGAAACCCCGTTTCTGCTAAAAATACAAAAAATTGGCCGGGTGTGGTGGCAGGCGTGGTGGCGGGTGCCTGTAGTCCCAGCTACTCTGGAGGCTGAGGCAGGAGAATGACGTGAACCCGGGAGGCAGAGCTTGCAGTGAGCTGAGATGGCGCCACTGCACTCCAGCCTGGGCGACAGAGCGAGACTGCATCTCAAAATAAAATAAAATAAAGTAAAAACCATCAGATCTTGTGACAGTTATTTACTCCCAGCACTTTGAGAGGTTGAGATGGGAGGATCACTTAAGCCCAGGAGTTCACGACCCGCCTGGGCAACATAGTGAGACTGTCTCTACAAAAACAACAACAACAACAACAAAAATAAATTTAAAAAACCAAAAAAGCCTAATGTATTACATTTTCCTAATACTATTATCACAGACATCTGGCAGTAAACATCTGTGGGAAAACTACATGGGAAGGCTAACTTTAACAGAGAAAGATGCTAGGTGACAAGATCATCAAAGTAAGTGACTTTGAGCCAGGGAAGAAAAGTGGCTCAGCACAAATGTGGTCTTTCTTCAGACTGATCATAGTATAGCTGATTCACTACCTGTGCCGATAAAGCTCTATTCTCTTGAAGTCACAGTGTAGTCATTCTGATTGGAATTTGGATTTTGCTAAATTCTTCAGTCATTCTGCCTCAGATAACTAGCTCTTCTTGTCCATTGCATGTAATTTCCCCTAAGTTTATTCACTGGATACAGCCTTTAATTATTTGTCTTTGTAGGGGGTGATTTTATTTAAAACACTGTCAGCAGGCCAGCTTGGTGGTGGCTCCTGTAATCCCAGCACTTTGGGAGGCCAAGATGCGGGGGATCATCAGAGGTCAGGAGTTCGAGACCAGCCTGGCCAACATGGTGAAACCCCATCTCTACTAAAAATGCAAAAATCAGTTGGGCGTGGTGGCACACACCTGTAATCCCAGCTACTCAGGAGGCCGAGGCAGGAAAATTGCTTGAACTCAGGAGGTGGAGGTTGCAGTGAGCTGAGATCGCACCATTGTATTCCACCCTGGGTGACAGAGCGAGACTCTGTCTCAAAAAAACAAACAAAAAAAACACTGTCGGCAATCTATGATTTTTTTTTTAACACTTAGTTTTGCTAACTTTTAGCACTATTAAGGTTATACATTTTTATTGCAGAAAAGAGATATGCAAAAAAGTTTCTTTTAATGTCATAACCCAGAGAGAACCTTTGTAAACATTTAAGTTCATGTTCTCTCATATTTTGTTCAGTGTGTTAAATATCCCCCCGATAGGATTATGCTGTACATACTGTTTGTAACCTGTTTTATTAATTATTTGTATGATGTGATTTATATTTAGGAACCATCAAGCCAGTTAATTTTGTTTGTTGTTGTTGAGACAGAGTCCTGCTCTATCGCCCAGGCTGGCGTGCAGTGGCGTGATCTTGGCTTACCGTGACCTTTTCCTCCTGGGTTCAAGCAATTCTCATGTCTGGGATTACAGGCGCGAGCCACCACACCTGGCTAAGTTTTTGTTTTTAGTAGAGAGGGGGTTTCACCATGTTGGCCAGGCTGATCTCAAACTCGTGACCTCAAGTGATCACTGGCCTTGGCCTCCCACAGTGCTGGGACTACAGGCGGAGCCACCGCGCCCGGGCGTATGTCTCTATTAATGTTAGAGAATAAAAAGCAACATAAATTTATGTGGGGCCGGTCATGGTGGCTCATGCCTGTAATGCCAGCACTTTGGGAGGCCGCGATGGGATGATTGCCTGAGTCCACGAGCTTGAGACCAGCCTGGCTAACATGGCGAAACCCCATCTCTACTAAAAATTCAAAAAATTAGCTGGGTATGGTGGCTCACGCCTGTAGTCCCAGCTACTCAGGAGGCTGAGGTGGGAGGATCACCTGAGCCCAGGAGACGAAGTTGCAGTGAGCCAAGATCATGCCACTGCACTCCGTCCAAAAAAAAAAGAAAGAAATAATAGCCCACCAATGGGGGCTGGGCGCGGTGGCTCACGCTTGTAATCCCAGCACTTTGGGAGGCCGAGGCTGGCAGATCACGAGGTCAGGAGATCGAGGCCATCCTGGTTAACATGGTGAAACCCCGTCTCTACTAAAAACACAAAAAATTGGCCGGGCGTGGTGGCGGGCGCCTGAAGTCCCAGCTACTCGGGAGGCTGAGGCAGGAAAATGGCATGAACCCAGCAGGTGGAGCTTGCAGTGAGCTGAGATTGTGCCACTGCCCTCCAGCCTGGGACAGAGTGAGACTCCAGTCTCAAAAAAAAAAGGGAAATAATAGCCCACAATATTGCTTTTGTGTTGTTTAATTTGTTTTCTAAAAAATACTAAGTTCTCAAGTACTATAAATCATTTGCATTGTATAGTTCCCTTGGAGGGCTTTTGTTTTATTTATTATTTATTATTTTTATTTTTTTTTGAGACAGAGTCTCCCTGTCACCCAGGGAGTACAGGCTGGAGTACAGTGGTGTGATCTCAGCTCACTACAACTTCTACTTCCGGGTTCAAGCGATTCTCCTGCCTCAGTCTCCCAAGTAGCCGGGATTACAGGCTCGCGCCACCACATCCAGATAATTTTTGTATTTTTAGTAGAAACAGGGTTTCGCCATGTTGGCCAGGCTGGTCTCGAACTCCTGACTTCAAGTGATCCACCTGCCTCGGCCTCCCAAAGTGCTGGGATTACAGGCGTGGGCCACGGCGCCCGGCCAGAAAGCTTTTAAAGTAGTTTCTTTATGTAGCTGTACTCTCAGCACTATTCTTTTTTTTTTTTTTGAGACGGAGTCTCACTCTCTCACCTAGGCTGCAGTGCAGTGGCACAATCTCGGCTCACTACAACCTCCGCCTCCCGGGTTCAAGCATTTCTCTTGTCTCAGCCTCCGGAGTAGCTGGGACTATAGGCGTGTACCACCACGCCCCGACTAATTTTTGTTTTTTTAGTAGAGACGGGGTTTCACTGTGTTGGCCTGGCCTCTCAGCACTATTTTTAGGAGGTACCTTTTATTACCCGTTTTCTTCAAAGGAGATGAATAAATACGGTAACAACAGTTTGATTTTTATTAATTCTATGACCTTTTCATTAAAACAACCACGTGACCGTAAAGCATATCCATATTTGAACTTCTAAACATTTACAAGGCAACTTTTTAAATTAGGTCTTCGAAATTTCATGGCTCTTTCAGTAAGCGATCACTGAGCTTTGCAGAGTAATATAAATTGCTGCTTGCACAGTATCCTCTGTAACATCTAATGGAATTTAATCATATTCCCCTACAAGGCAAATAACTCTAGTTCTATAGCCTTTTGTTGTATGTACTGCTAAATCATAACAACTCCCTAAGTGCCTGGTGGACTGAAAATATTCGCACATTTATTTGTAGAATCCTGAGTTTATTGTAGCATATTTGTCATACTATAGTATTCTGAAATTATCTGTAAGTGGATTATAACTGAAGTTAAAACATTTATTGTCAATGGGTACTGTGGTTTATGCCTGTAATCCCAGCACTTTAGGAGGCTGAGGTGGGATGATTGCTTAAGCTCAGGAGTTCAAGACCAGCCTGAGCAACATAGCGAGATCTTGTCTTTACAAAACATTTTTTAAAAAATTAGCAAGGCTAATTACAGGTGGTGCACACCTGTAATCCCATCTACTCAGGAGGATGAGGTGGGACGATCTCTTGAGTCCAGGAGTTCAAGACAGGAGTGAGCTGTAATTGTCACCACTGCATTCCAGCCTGAGTGACAGATCAAGACTCTGTCTCAAAAAAGAAAAAAAAAATTCTTATAATGTATGATAGTACATGCCAGGCCATTTAATAAGCAACTTGAAGGCATTGTATTTGTCTTACAGATATTCTCAATAAGTATGTTGAAAGATTGGATAAAATTTTCACAATTTAGTTGATTATTTCATGTACATACTTTTATGCAGTAACACTTTTGCACTAAAATAGTACCGTCTGCTAACATGTTGACTGTAAATCATTTGTTTTTTTGTTTGTTTTTTGAGTAGGAGTCCCGCTTTGTTACCCAGGGTGGAGTGCAGTGGTGCAATCACAGCTCACTGCAGCCTCAGCCTCCTGGGGTCAAGTAATTCTCCTATCTCAGCCCCTCCAAGTAGCTGGGACCACAGATGTGCATCACCATGCCCAGCTAGCTTTTTAATTTTTTGTGGAGACAGGGTCAGGCTGGTCTTGAACTCCTGGGTTCAAGTGATCTTACTGCCTTGGCCTCCCAAAATGCTGGGATTACAGGCATGAGCCACCATGCCCAGCAGCAAATAATATTTATAGTCCAGATGTTATACTAAATTCTAGCCTCATTGTCTAGCTTTTGTGATGACTTAGTACAGTGGCGCATTTTATAGATGAGGAGAGGGGCATATTGGATGATCAGGAACTCTAAAGTAATCTCCAACTTCTAAGGCTGTTCTCGAACATTCAATATTGTTTGAAACCTTGCACCTTTTATTTCCTTGAGTTCTCTGAGAAGAGTGGCTTCATAACTCCAGTGTCCTGCTCTCTGTAGGCTCTCAGGAAAGTTGAATGAATAAGTTGGTTGTGCTTGTGATTTATCTTCTGGGAACTTCTCTGCTATTATTTATCATGAAATTTGGGTAATCCTTGCTCAGTTTAACTGCATGTGCTGGAGAATATGTTAAGAATATATCACCAGGCACAGTGACTCACGCCTGTAATCCCAGCACTTTGGGAGGCTGAGGCCGGTGGATCATTTGAGGTCAGGAGTTCAAGACCAGCCTGGCCAACATGGTGAAACCCTGTGTCTACTAAAAATACAAAAATTAGCCGGGTGTGGTGGCAGGTGCCTGTAATCCCAGCTACTTGGGAGGCTGAGGCAGGACAATCTCTTGAACTCGGGAGGCGGAGGGAGGTTGCAGTGAGCCGAGATCTCACCACTGCACTCCAGCCTGGGCAATAAAGCAAGACTCCATCTCAAAAAAAAAAAAGAACATATTAAGTGGTAAGATGCCAGGTGCTTTCCATTAGACAGTGCAATCCTCCGATGACTTTGCCTTGTGTTAGTCCTGTGTAGCAAATGAGAAAACTGTGGCTCAGGAGCATAAGTTGTTTGAACACAGCTAGTAAAAAGCGGAGGTAGAAGCCTGACTGGGAAAGAAATTCCTAATGCATGGATTACTGACAGGTTATTTATTACTGAATTGTTTTGCACATCACTTTTTTTTTTTTTTGTGTGACGGAATCTTTTTTTTTTTTTTTTTTTTTTTTTTTTGAGACGGAGTCTCGCTCTGTCGCCCAGGCCGGACTGCGGACTGCAGTGGCGCAATCTCGGCTCACTGCAAGCTCCGCTTCCCGGGTTCACGCCATTCTCCTGCCTCAGCCTCCCGAGTAGCTGGGACTACAGGCGCCCGCCACCGCGCCCGGCTAATTTTTTGTATTTTTAGTAGAGACGGGGTTTCACCTTGTTAGCCAGGATGGTCTCGATCTCCTGACCTCATGATCCACCCGCCTCGGCCTCCCAAAGTGCTGGGATTACAGGCGTGAGCCACCGCGCCTGGCCAACGGAATCTTATTCTGTCCCCCAGGCTGGAATACAATGATGGGATCTCAGCTTACTGCAACCTCTGCCTCCCAGGTTCAAGCGATTCTCCTGCCTCAGCCTCCCGAGTACCTGAGATTACAGGCACCCGCCACCACACCTGGCTAATTTTTGTATTTTTAGTAGAGACAGGGTTTCACCATGTTGGCCAGGCTGGTCTCAAACTCCTGACCTCAGGTGATCTGCCTGCCTCGGCCTCCCAAAGTGCTAGGATTACAAGTGTGAGCCACCATGCCCAGCTGCATATCACTTTCTTATAGGATGCTCCAAAGGTAGTCTAGTTACCAAGAAAGAGTCATGGTGATCAAGTTTGTTTTGTTTTTTTTTAAATACTTGTCATGTATGGACACCATTCTTTTCAGCAGATTATTTGAGTGATATGTACAATAATGTGGTATGCATGGGGGATAAAGCTGTGAGCAAGACACATTTAATCCATATCCTCAAGGACCTTTGGTCTGGCCATCTAGTTCTGTAGTTGGGAGACTTTTCCTGTAAAGGACCAGACAGTGAATATTTTAGGCTTTGCAGGCCCTATGGTCTTGGTTGCAAATACTGAATTCTGCCATTGTGATGCAAAAGTAGCCACAGACATTATTTAAATAAATGAGTGTGGCTATGTTCCAATAAAACTTCATTTACAGAAATAGGCAGTGGACTTGATTTGGCCTGCAGGTTGTAGTTTGCCGACTCTTGGTCTAGTTTATTTGTTTCTTGGCCTCTGTCTCTCTTTCTTGCTCATATTCACAGCAGCAATTTTCATAGAGTTCCATTGATTTATTTGTTACAGTTATGTAGGTAAGATTGTGGAAGAACTGGATCTTTTACAACTGATAAAAGCTAACTCTTGTATTTTCTTTTACTCTTTTATCCAGGACATTTTATTTCCTTACATCGAAGAAAATGTTAAAGAGTATCTGCAGACACATTGGGAAGAAGAGGAGTGCCAGCAGGATGTCAGTCTTTTGAGGAAACAGGTTGGGACATTTCTGTCTTAAATTCCCAAGTGTCTTAGAAATGAGGGTACCTGGAGATTTAGGACATGCTCTGAGCATTTTGTAAAATAAGTGCCCTGGTTTGATAGGGGATAGAAGTTGCAGTGACTTAGTGAGTTGCCTGCTTAGGAATTCACAGTACATAATTAAAGGCTGGATCATGTCAGTTTGTTGTTTCTGGAGTTGCTCTTTGGTTGTTTTTTTTTGTTTTGTTTTGTTTTGTTTTTTTTGTTTTTTTTTGAGATGGAGTCTCACTTCGTTGCCCAGGCTGGAGTGTGGTGGTGTGATCTTAGCTCACTGCAACCTCGCTTACTGGGTTCAGGCGATTCTCCTGCCTCAGCCTCCCGAGTAGCTGGGACTACAGGCACCTGCCACCATGCCCAGCTAATTTTTTGTATTTTTAGTGGAGATTGGGTTTCACCGCATTGGACAGGCTGGTCTAGAACTCCTGATTTCAAGTGATCTACCCTCCTCGGCCTCCCAAAGTGCTGGGATTACAGGCATGAGCTTACCACCCCCAGCCCACCCAAAAAGGGCTTAAGTTTGCAAATATATGATATTGTTAGGCAATTTAAATAGCTCTAGAAAAAGGCAACTCTAGGCTGGGCACGGTGGCTCACACCTGTAATCTCAGCACTTTGGGAGGCCGAGGTGGGTGGATCACTCGAGGTCAGGAGTTTGAGACCAGCCTGGCCAAAATGGTGAAACGCTGCCTCTACTAAAAATACAAAAAATTAGGCCGGGCGCGGTGGCTCACGCCTGTAATCCCAGCACTTTGGGAGGCCGAGGCGGGCGGATCACGAGGTCAGGAGATCGAGACCATCTCGGCTAAAACGGTGAAACCCCGTCTCTACTAAAAATACAAAAAATTAGCCGGGCGTAGTGGCCGGCGCCTGTAGTCCCAGCTACTTGGGAGGCTGAGGCAGGAGAATGGCGTGAACCCGGGAGGCGGAGCTTGCAGTGAGCCGAGATCCCGCCACTGCACTCCAGCCTGGGCGACAGAGCGAGACTCCGTCTCAAAAAAAAAAAAAAAAAAAAAAAATACAAAAAATTAGCCGGACATGGTGGCGGGCACCTGTAGTCACAACTCCTTGGGAGGCTGAGGCAGGAGAATTGCTTGAACGTGGGAGGTGAAGGTTGTAGTGAGCCGAGATGGCGCCACTGCACTCTAGCCTGGGCTACAGAGCAAGACTCCGTCTCAAAAAAAAAGAGTCCTTTCTGGGTAGAATGCAAAAGGTTTTGAGCAGTCTCTACATTTTTTATTAACGTCTCTATATTAGTCTGTTCTCACATTGCTGTAAAGAAATACCTGAGAGTGGGTAATTTTTAAGAAAAGAGGTTTAATTGGCTCACAGGTCTACAGGCTATACAGGAAACATAGCGGCATCTGCTTCTGGGGAGACCTCAGGAAGCTTCTAATCATGATGGAAGGCAAAGCCGGAGCAGGCGTCTCAGATGGTGAAAGTCAGGAGCAAGAGAGTGGGGAGGGGAGGTGCTACACACTTTAAAACAACCAGAACTCACTATTGTGAGGACAGCATCAAGGAGGATGGTGCTAAACAAACCATTCACGAGAAGTCTATCCCCGCGATCCAGTCACCTCCCACTAGGCCTCACCTCCAGCACTGAGGATTACATTTCAATGTGCAATTTGGGTGGGGACACACATCCAAGCCATGTCATTCTCCATATGACAGTACTTCATCATTTTGCACTCCCTCCTTCCTTACTGCAAGCCCCTGCTGCCCCCTCTGCAGTGCTCCTGGGTCCTCACACTCACACTCCCCTTCCAGACTCCTCACCCCAGCTCACTCTGGCCCAGCCCTCATACCTCCTTTGGTCTCCTGTGCTTTGTTCTACCCTCTTCTCCCCACCAGTCATCAGTCTGTCTTTTCCTTCCACATTGTGTGCTATGGAACTCCTGCTCTGTTGTTTTTCTTGTTAAAATTGCTTCAGTGGCAAAGATCTTACATGGTCTGCAGAGCTAACTCACTGGCAGTTATTTTCTAGTTCTATATTGGATACTGTGGAATGCTCTCTGTGGATGTTTTACTGTTAGGAATTAGGATTCAAAATGTAGTTATGTCCTTTGGGCATGGAATATTTGGGATTTTAATTTTCTGGATAACTCAGGGTTAATCTGAAATACAGTGAGTCCTTACTTAATGTTGTCTTTAGGTTCTTGGAAACTAAGTGAAATGACACTTAAATTTCAATTTTCAATTTTAAACCAACCATAACAAAACCAATTTTTTCTCCACATAAATGTTATAACAAAATGATGTTGAAGGAAATGACATTACTTGAGAAGGTCATGCCACTTGAAGTCACAGTTTCCAAGAACCTTTCAATGATGTTAAATGAGGACTTACTTTACTTTCCTCCCTTACCTTTTTTTGTTGTCAAAACCTTGTTGAAACATACATACATAGTCCCCCATTATTGTATATAAATATGTACACATGTATCTTTAGAAATTGGACTGCTTTGTCACAAGGTCATTGTTCTAAGTGGCTACTAGGATTTTTGCAAGATGTGGGAGATTATAGGAGACTGAATGTGAACCAACCTCATTACTTCACTAGCTTCTTTTTGCTGAATTCCAGGCATAAACTAATTTATGAGATTTTCTTTGTTTCTTTCTCCATTAGTTATAGTGCAGAGAAAATTATCAGATTGAGTTAAAGTCCTGGTTTGTTGATCCCAGTAGTGAATCAACAAATCAAATCTTAATTCTATCATTATGTGCTCTCTCTTCTCATATACAACATGCGTCTCAGTTTAAATTTCAGCTTTTAGCAAAAGGAAAGGTAATGTAAATTTATTAATCCAGGTTCTTTTAGGAATCATTTGTATCAGCTCCAAAGTATATGATGTTTCAATTTGCAGCCATACTAGGGCTAATGATGGAGAAAGTTGTTCTGCTGGGTTTTTGGGTCTCGTTTTAAATGACTGTTTTTTGAATAAGCAAAAAACAAACATCATGTTGTTTCTGACTTAAAGGCTGAAGAGGACGCCCACCTGGATGGGGCTGTTCCTATCCCTGCAGCATCTGGGAATGGAGTGGATGATCTGCAACAGATGATCCAGGCCGTGGTAGATAATGTGTGCTGGCAGATGTCCCTGGATCGAAAGACCACTGCACTCAAACAGCTGCAGGGCCACATGTGGAGGGCGGCATTCACAGCTGGGCGCATGAAAGCAGAGTATGTGCTTGAGTCAGCCTAAACATTTCACCAGTCCCAAATCCAAATATGTTTTTTCACCAGTCCTCTCTTTCCAGCGTAAGTCACAAGACTGGTAAAACAGATAAAAATCCACACTCTTTTTAGTCTAACAAGTGAGCTTTGTTTCATTTTTTCAAAACTTGGCTAAAATATTTCAGCTGACTAGATTACCCGGACCTGCCAGTCTGGTCTTGTGGGTTGATTGAAGGACTTGTCAAAGTCTCCGTTTAAAATAGCTTCCTAGAAAATGGTGACTTCCTTGAACTAAGTCATATTTGATTCTTAGCACATGAGTGACAGCTCCGTTGGGCTGCTTGCCTGGACTGTTAATTACCTGCTTTTTGCTCTATGAGACATAGGAAATTTTGTGCCCCACCGTGTTGAGGTTACTCAGAGGATGTCCGCACTACCACGTTCTTCTTTGCTCTTTTGAGCAACTTCCACAGATTCTTTGAGTCTTGGTTATGGAGTTCCTAATAGCACTCCTGCCTGAGGAGACTTTTGAGTATTATACTTACTGAGAAATTCTTGATTGATTCAGACAGGGTCCTACTCTGTTGGCTGGAGTGCAGTGGCATGATCATGGCTCACTGCAGCCTTGACCTCCCCTAGTTCAGGTGATCCTCCCACCTCAGCCTACCGAGTAGCTGGGACTAGGCATGTGCCACCATGCCCAGCTAGTTTTTGTATTTTTAGTACAGATGGGGTTCTACCATGTTGCCCAGGCTAGTCTCAAACTTCTGGGCTTGAGCGATCTGCCTGCCTTGGACTCCCAAAATGCTGGGGTTACAGGCGTAAGTCACAATACCTGGCCTATTTTTTTTTTTTTAGAGCTGGGGTCTTGCTCTGTGATCCACACTGGAGTGCAGTGGTGCCATCATAGCTCACTGTAGCCTTCAAGTGAACCTCCCGCCTCAGCCTCCTCATTAGCTGGGACCACAGGCACGCACCACCACACCTGGCTATTCAAAAAACATTTTTGTAGAGGTGTGGTCTTGCTATGTTGTCCATACCATATTGCTGATAAATTCTTTTCGTTTGTTTGTTTCTGTTTTTGCTTTGAGACCGAGTCTTGCTCTTTGCCCAGGCTGGAGTGCAGTGGCGCAATCTCAGCTCACTGCAACTTCTACCTCCTGGGTTCAAGCGATTCTCCTGCCTCAGCCTCTGGAGTAGCCGCCTGCCACTATGCTAATTTTTGTATTTTTAGTAGACATGGGGTTTCACCATATTGGCCAGGCTGGTCTTGAACTCCTGACCTCAAGTGGTCCACCCCATCTCAGCCTCCCAAACTGCTAGGATTACAGGTATGAGCCACCCCTCCCGGCCTATTTTTGTTTTTGGAGATAGTCTCACTCTGTTGTCCAGGATGGAGTGCATTCACACAATCTTAGCTCACTGCAACCTCCGCCCTCTGGGTTCAAGCAATTCTTGTACCTCAGCCTCCCAAACAGCGGGGACTACAGGTGCGTGCCACCACACCTGGCTAATTTTTTGTATTTTAGTAGAGACAGGGTTTTATCATGTTGTCCAGGCTGGTCTTAAGCTCCTGAGCTCAGGGCAGTCCACCTACCTTGGCCTCCCAAAGTGCTAGGATTACAGGCGTGAGCCACTGTGCCAGGCCTGCTGAGAAATTCTTTTTTTTTTTTTTTTTTTGAGACGGAGTCTTGCTCTGTCACCCAGGCTGGAGTGCAGTGGCGTGATCTCAGCTCGCTGCAAGCTCCGCCTCCTGGGTTCACGCCATTCTCCTGCCTCAGCCTCCCGAGTAGCTGGGACTACAGGCGTGTGCCACCACGCCCGGCTAATTTTTTGTATTTTTAGTAGAGACAGTGTTTCACCGTGTTAGCCAGGATGCTCTCGATCTCCTGACCTTGTGATCCGCCCCCCCTTGGCCTCCCAAAGTGCTGGGATTACAGGTGTGAGCCACTGCACCTGGGTGTGAAATTCTTAAGGATTTTAGGCCATTGCCTGCTGTAAACCCTAGGATCCAAGATTGTTTCCAGCTGCATATATTTCTTTTGTGTTTCTGTCAAATGAGATGTTGTTTCTTTATTTATGTACTTTACGAGGAGCTTCTACCTTTTAAAGGATGGACTGGAATTTCAGGATATGCCAGTGATCTGGGAATATCAGCCAGGTTCACTTTGTAAAGCACTCAAAAAAGTGGAGACAGGAGACTGTGCACCCGGTAGTTAGCCCATACTTCTCTTGGTCTTGGTTCCTTAATTATACAACTAACTGCTGAAGACAGGAAAAATCCTGTCTCCATGAGTGCAAACTAGTACTCAGAATAACATACTTACATGTGTACTGGTTTTGAATACGTTGATCTCTTTCCTTCAATTAGTGCAACATGTTAAGCATGTTAATACATATAAAGCGGAAGACTCCACTGACATTTTCCAGGTAATCTTTTAGAGATGACTGGTTCTACAACCCAAGTTCTTTGTGCTTCTCTTTTCACCTTTCTCCTGTGATGTTAATTTCCTCCATGACTATGGAAAACACTAGAATTGGTAAGAGAGACTGAGTGTCAGAAGTCAGAAAAAGACATCTTTTGCTGACTGGTTAATGTGAGTTGGTACAAGTCTCAACTGACTTGTTATGTAATTTTTTCCCCATATAATAAAACATTGTTTTCTTAGTTCTCAAAAAATGCAGGCCGGGTGCAGTGGCTCATGCCTGTAATCCCAGCACTTTGGGAGGCTGAAGTGGGGGGATCACTTGAGTCCAGGAGTTTGAGACCAGCCTGGGTGACATGGCAAAGCACCATCTCTACAAAAAATTAAAAAAAAAAAAAAAAAGCTGGGGGTGGTAGCACATGCTTGTAGTCCCAACTACCTGGGAGGCTGAGGTGGGAGGATCACTCGAGCCCAGGAGGTAGAGGTTGCAGTGAGCTGAGATCATGCCACTGCACTCCAGCCTAGGCAACAGAGCAAGACCCTGTCTCAAAAAAAAGTAATTCCATTTTCTAGCTAATCATAAGTTTATAGCTTTGAGCCTTCAAACTTTGTTTTGATTATTTTGGGTGCAGATCTTTCTAAAAGCATTTCCATGCTTTCTTAAAGCACAGTGGACATAATTTAACCTTTTCTTGTCATGAAGAACATCAAAGATTATATTATATCATTGCTGTTGTTTGCTTTTTTGAGTTCTTCGGGAATTTAAAAAACACTTTCCCATTTCATCCTTTTATCTGTAGTCCCTTTTTACTGTCACTAGTGGCTGTCTGTTCAAAACTATCCTCCTTTCCACATAGATTGTTGCTTCTAATCTGCTGTGAGCCTGGAACTTGGGCAGTATGTTTATTAGAACTGCAGGAGTTTGTAGTCTCAGGGAGCTGCTTCTCAGGTTACCATGTGGGCACAAAGAGAGAAACATATGGCATCTGTTTTGACAGGTTTTTATCTGGCTAGATGAGGTGTTCCTGTATTTTAACTTAGTGGTCTTCCCTCTAGGTTCTTTGCAGATGTAGTTCCAGCAGTCAGGAAGTGGAGAGAGGCCGGAATGAAGGTGTACATCTATTCCTCAGGGAGTGTGGAGGCACAGAAACTGTTATTCGGGCATTCTACGGAGGGAGATATTCTTGAGGTAGGTTACCTAGTTTACTTTGTTGTTTTGACGCTATCAAAGCATAAAATAATGAATCTTAATGGAAAACTAATTGGAACTAATAGAATGCTTTTTTTTTTTTGGTTGTTTAAAATTAGGTAAGAAGAAAATAATCACTTTTAATTATATTGTATTTACAGTTTCTTCTATATAAGGTTGTTATATAAAGTTTATTCTGTGTCTTGAAAAATAAAATCAGTTAGGATGCAAAATAGGATTGTGCAGTCCTGAGAAATATATAAAGACTTTTTGAATACAGCAGAGAACAAGGTGCACTCATTTGTTTCTGGCTCTTTGAAGAAATATAGATTTCATTTAAGAAGAACCAGCATTATTATAGGAGAACCAGGCACATTTTTAAATGTAATAAGGTCGTCACCTGTTGCATTTCATGTACATGAGAAAATTCTTGCTAGCCCCTCTGTGTCATCATCCCTGCACCCCCTGGAGGATGGGGTGATCAGTGAAAGAAGTGACTACATTTAGGGTTTTAAAAAGAAGTGCTGATTAGCTGAATATAGACCAAACTTAACAATAGGTAACTTGGAATATAGACTTAACTTAAAATAGGTTACTTACAATAGGTAACTTGACCAGATACTTTTTAAAAATAAATATTTACCGGCCGGGCGCAGTGGCTCACGCCTGTAATTCCAGCACTTTTGGAGGCCAAGGTGGGCGGATCACGAGGTCAGGAGATCGAGACCATCCTGGCTAACATGGTGAAACCCCGTCTCTACTAAAAATACAAAAAAAAAAAATTAGCCGGACGTGGTGGCGGGCACCTGTAGTCCCAGCTACTCGGGAGGCTGAGGCAGGAGAATGGCTTGAACCCAGGAGGCGGAGCTTACAGTGAGCTGAGATCGTGCCACTGCACTCCAGCCTGGGCGATAGAGTGAGATTCCATCTCAAAAAAAAAAAAATTTACTTATTTTAACTTACAATAGGTAACTTGAATATAGACCGAACTTATAATAGGTTACTTACAATAGGTAACTTGGCCAGACAAGTTTTTAAAATAAATATGTATTGAGCACCTACCATGTGCAAAGAACACTTTGGCTTTGGAGGTTGTAATATTCTAATTTTAGTATTTTCCTACTTTCTGTCTTATTTTTAAATCAAATATTAATAATGAAACCCTTTAATCATTGGTGACTGTTCTCTTAATACAGATACAACTTCTTTTCTGCTCTCTCTGACAATCATGACAGGACAAAAGTACCTACTGAGTTCACTAATAAGAATTTTACTCTCTAGTTACCAAGTGAGGCAAACTGCAAGAAAAAGAAAATAAGCAAAATCAGTTTTAACTTTAAAAAAAAAAAACTTAAAATTACTTTTTTTTTTTTTTTTACCTTCCCATTGGCCAAACCCAGTTTGAGTGCTTACTATGCTTGTTTTTAGTTTGTGAAAAGTTCTGAAAACATTCAAAAGATCACATCTTAGTAACTGACCCTAAATATGGACTTATTTTAATTACTGTTGGTCAAATTAGCAAGTTACAGATTTGACTCCAATTGTTTCCAAGAGGGCAGAGACATAGACGAGCCCTTGGGTAGAATTTCAAAACGTTTTAACTAGAAAATGAGAATTTCTTGTAAGTAAAATAATAGCTTATTCATGAGGCAGGTTAGAGAAATTTTTTCATCGTAAGATTAAAGGACAGTGTTCAGAATCTTTCATCAGGAGTAAAATTCAATCCAGTGAGTAGTTTGAGTGCAAATCATCTTTAAGGGTAGGATGTAGGGCATGTTTATTTTAAACTATTTCAGATGTAAAATGAACGGTAGTGAAAACCAGGTAGATTATGAAATGATCTTATGTATGTTGAGCTGGTAGTTTTCTTCTTCCAAATGTCTGTTGCTATAAAATCTTTATTTTTACTTTGTATAGCCTCCATAAAGTTCCCTATTAAGTAGATTTTCAGAAAATACTGAACGAATGAAGTAATTGTGATTGTCATGTATTTCAGAGAAAGGCATGAGGGGCATGCAAGTGTATTTGTATTGCCAGTCTTTCCCCTTCTCTTTGTTCAGCTTGTTGATGGTCACTTTGATACCAAGATTGGACACAAAGTAGAGAGTGAAAGTTACCGAAAGATTGCAGACAGCATTGGGTGCTCAACCAACAACATTTTGTTTCTGACAGATGTTACTCGAGGTGAGTAATAGACTTCTTATATTATATACTCCAGGATATGAACTGAGCCTGGCACTACAAATACATTGCCTCTTTAAAGAAACTTTATATGGGGATCCTTGAAAAATAAAACAGTTTTACGGTTTTATATAAAGAAACAGTGTCTGGTTCAAGTTCATGTTTGAATTAAAAAAAAAAAACACAGCAGTGAAGGCAGGCTTGGTGGCTCATGCCTGTAATCCCAGCACTTCTGTGGGCTCAGGCAGGAGGATTGCTTGAACCCAGGAGTTCGACACTAGCCTGGGCAACAATGTAAGACCTCTGTCTCTACAGAAAAATTCAGAAAGTTAGTTGGGTATGATGGCTCACTCCTGTGGTCCCAGCTGCATGGGAGGCTGAGGCAGGGGCATCAGGTGAGCCCAGGAGGTCGAGGCCGCAGTGAGCCGTGTTTGTGCCACTGCACTCCAGCCTGGGTGACAGAGCAAGACTGTCTCAAAAAAGAATGAACCAACTCTGGGGGTTGCATGTGGGGAAGTGGCATTGAAAAGACTAACTCTTCTCGTTTAACTCCTTGTCCGTGATTTCCCAGCCATCGCTATGTACACACACACACACACTATGACACAGGAAATTAACAGGAAGACTTAGAGGAGTTGTCATGGGAAGGAGCATGCAAGCGGGGTTGTGAGTATAAGGGGTAGGTAGTTGAGCCAGCCAGTTCTGGGATTAAATGCACAGTTCCATTTGTGATCCCCGGACCTTTGCTCTATCTCAATATTAAGAATTATAACCCCTGTCCTTAGACCACTTATAGTTTCTTCATATTCTTGTGTTTAGCCACTTAATTTTTGTATTTGGGATCACATAGTACATCTATAATTTCAGATCTTTCTCTTCTCATTTAAGCCATTTCCTCAGTTGCAATTGTAGAAATTATTCCTAATTTTGGAGAATAGAAATAATCCCTAAATTGGCTTCAAAATGAAATTAGCTCCCTTTGATTCTCTGTAAGGAGGTTTTATTCCTGCCCTTCATCTTCTGCTGGCCCCATACACACTTAGGCCAGAACTTGGGTCATCGGCAGCTGGGATGAGGCAGGGAGCTGTCTGCCTGCTTGCTCTTTTCTCTCTGGTCCTGTTTTGGTACCACATGCCCAGACTTCCACTGCTGAGGCAGAATGAAAAACTAAGTTAATATCCCAAATAATGGCTGGGCGCGGTAACTCACACCTATAATCCTAGCACTTTGGGAGGCCAAGGTGGGTGGATCATTTGAGGTCAGGAATTCAAGACCAGCCTGGCCAACATGGTGAAACCTTGTGTCTACTAAAATACAAATATTAGCCAGGCAGTAGTGGTACACGCCTGTAATCCTGGCTACTCGGCTGGGGGCTGAGGCAGGAGAATTGCTTGAGCCTGGGAGGCGGAGGTTGGGATGAGCCGAGATCATGCCACTGCACTCCAGCCTGAGCGACAGAGAGAGACCCTTCTGAAAAAACACAATAAAATAAAAAATAAAATCCCAAATAATACCCAAGTATGAAAAAGTGTCTCAGCATTACAACAGTAGAGCAAATAGATGCTTAGGGATAAAACTTGCCCTGCAGTGAATTAGATAAAAAGCCTGAATATGGAACGGCCACTTGTAGTGTCAAGTCCCATGTGGATTGTGATGGCTTAACTTGGTCATATTCCCGGGTTGCCAGTCACGATGAAAACTTTGCTCAGGGCAGTCAGGCTAGGAAGTAGGGGTGAGTGGAAGATAGCTGCCTTTCTCCAATGGCATCTGCAGAGGTGGTCTGAAGAAGACATTCCCACACAGAGAGGGGAGTCTTGAGTACTGTTTGCTCTGGGAAAGTGACAGGCCCTTTCACAGGCAGAACAGAAAGCAGGCACTTGAGGAGGTGGGTGGGTGGAAGAAACAGCTCAGCCCCAGTGTGTCTCCTGGGAACTTAACTCTCTCAGCACGACTGCCCTTCAGTTAATCTGTTCAGGTGCTGTGACTCTTCTCCAAAGGCTGAGAAACTAATGGTGATTACTCTTACACCAAATCTAAATTCCACGGGATTTATATATATATATTCCAGATTTCTCACCAGTTTTGTTCTATCTGTCCTAGTAAGCGCCATCTCTCTTATCACAGGCCTGTATCCCATTTCCCACTCTAACTTGCTCCATTCTAGGCTGGGAGTATGACATGTTTAGGGTCTGGAGGTAAGAGCAGATATCTTGGGCTGATTAAACCATAGGATTCCATTTGTCCCATTATCTTCTTTGTGTTTTTATTTTTTTGATACAGGGTCTCACTCTGTCACCCAGGCTGGAGTGCAGTAGTGCGATCTCGGCTTGCTGCAGCCTTGACCTCCTGGGCTTAAGCAATCCTCCCACCTCAGCACTCTTGAGTAGCTGGGACTACAGGCACACGCCACCACGCCCGGCTAATTTTTGTATTGTTTTGTAGAGATAGAGTTTCACCATGTTGCCCAGGCTGGTCTCGAACTCTTGGACTCAAGTCTGGCGTTCAAGTGAACTCCTGGGTCCACCGTGCCCAGCCCCATATCATTTTAATTCGTGTTACCAACAGCTTGTCCTTTGGGAAACAGCTCAGTTCTCGGTATGGGCTGATGGGAGGAAGTGGAGGAAAGGTGTAGGACAGAACATGGCTCCATCCTTCTGCATTCATAAGTACTTAATAAAGCTCAGAAGTGTAGGATACACTGCCATTCTCTTCTGTCAAGTACAGTTACGTATTTTTTAAAATTTTATCATGGAAAAATTAAAACATACATAAAAGAGATAATAATATAGTCAACCCCAGGGTGCCCATCTTTTAGCTTCAACAGTCATCAAATCAGGGCCAAATTCATTTCTTCCATCCCCACATCCCCCTGCTGACTTTGCTGCAAATCTCAGACATCATTTTTTGGTGTTTCTGACACACACACATCCTTTGATTTTTCACAGAGGCCAGTGCTGCTGAGGAAGCAGATGTGCACGTAGCTGTGGTGGTGAGACCAGGCAACGCAGGATTAACAGATGATGAGAAGACTTACTACAGCCTCATCACATCCTTCAGTGAACTATACCTGCCTTCCTCAACCTAGAGAAGGGTTGTTAAGGCAGACCGCCCTGTTCCCCAGAGTTGTCCCTGTAGTGTCTAGGTTTATTCTAATGGTAAAAGTAACTTACTTAAAAAACATATGTACACATATGTATGCAAGTATGTATATATGTGTATGCTCAGATTAACTTCCATAGGTACATAAGTGAAAGAAGTCTCAGTTCAGTGAACACAAAACTTATTTAAAGATGCTTTATATGTAGAAATTGTTTCAAATCATACTCTAACCCTTAGTGAGGGCAAAGTGTAGTTGGTAGAAGAAATTGCTAAATACCTATCTAATGTGCTATGTTTATCAAATCGTGTACTAAAATGGAAAGCTAGTTTTGAGAAATTATTCAGAAGCCTTGTTATTTTAAAAATGAAATATTTCAAAGACTGAATATTTTCAAAGAAAATGAATAATTCATTGCCCTTGTGATTTAGAAGATTATAACAGCTGTATTTCATATTTGCCTCCTTATATATATCAAAGACCAAGGTATTTCCTTCTGCTTCAAAAGAACAAAATTGGGAAAGAAAACTCACTTGAGTCTTGATCAAACAAGTGTCTTTTACTTAAGAAGAAACTTGGTAATCATTGTGGCACCCACAGCAAGCAGTTGCCTTACCAGTGAAAAAGGTGCACTGAGGTAACATCTAAAACAGAGATGTGGTTCTTAATGTTTAACAGAACAGTTCTAATCCTGCCACGTGTTATCATTATAGATTTTATAGTTGCCTTTCTAACTACTTAGCACAGTTTGAGAATACGTTAATTGCTATTTACTATTTAAAAAGTTTTACTGAAATCAGTCCATAACATTAAGATGAGCCCTAATATGTAAGATTTTCCTCTGGAATGGATGTGAGAAATGTAAATTTTATAACAGCAGTATTTATCCTGGTTTAATTCTAATACGATGTCATGTTAATTTCATGTTGTGATTAATAAAAGCATTTTTTCTTCACTCAGTTTTATATAGGTTCCTGAACTCTATCCACATGCCGCCATAGCAAAAGAGAAACTGAAAAACAAGAATATTTAGCTCTTATCTTAATCGTGTATCATGTGTGTGTTTTAATGGAGTGCCGGTGGCAATTCATGGTTATTATTTGAGTTATGTATACATATAAGGTTACTATTCCATTTGGATAGTAAGCATTCAGGATATGAGTGGAGTTCCTTATATTTTTGAGAATCTTAACTTTGAGGTCTCTAAGGTAATGCTTGAAGGAGGGAGTTACTCTCCTAACTAATCAAGAAAAACTCACGAATCCTGGAGGAGCAATTTTAGAAATGCTTTGAATAAGGAAAAAGAAGTCTTAGAACTATGAGAGGACAGGGGATATAAAAGATTTTATGTTGATAATTTTGATCTAGTAGCCAATTAAGAAATCTAGGGTCTATGAAAATATATGAATAAAAAAGAAAGGAAATGAGTTTAGGTACATCTTAGAAATGGGAATAATTTGTAAATGATGATAAAACCACAAATAGTAATAAAAGGATGAACTTAATACCTTTTTTGGAAAGCTCATAGGCAGATGGCAGAAAGGGGTATATCTTAATGTTATTTAAGGAGTAGTTGGAAAATGAAGAAATGAGAAGATTAGGCACTAGGATCTAGATTAGAAAGGAATTGAATAAAAAGGAAGGCACACAGCATCTAGCCAGCAAAGGATTGAGGTGGAGAGGCATTTTACTACCCATGTACACTGAGTAAGGAGGACAGAAAATCAATAGATTTCAGGAATTAAGAGAAAATTGAAGTATCAGATTTATTTTGCAAAGTAAGGGAAAAACTAGTTGAATGGAATCGTTTTTAGATCCTAGGAAAACCATTCACAAATGATGGAGAAAGGTCGTAGGAAGAATTTGAAAGATAAAGTAGATTGGCAAGAGAGGAAAAATACCTATCTAAGAATGTAAGCAGTGATACACAATGTATACATGTATTGAAACACCACAGTGTACCCCATAAATATGCACAGTTATGCATCATTAAAAAACTTTTTTTAATGTGGATAATGAGCTAGAAGATGAAGTCAGATGAATTCATAGTCCTTATGAGGGGAAGGAAGGCAAAAAACCTCTGGAACTTCCAAAAAGAGGACAAAGGCCTCAGCCTCTTGTTTGCAGAGAATATGGAGGACAAAAGCGTCTTAAAGTTGTGGCTCTTTTTATTCCTGTTTATTAATCCAGATGTACCTCTGTTGTTCTCTTTCCTACAGTGGCGCTGATTTCTAATCTTGGGTCAAAGCCCAGGTTGGTTTTTTAGAAGAGAAGCCCTTAACAGAAGATTCTCTAATCTTATCAACATTTCTGGAGTAGCAGGACTTCTTTTTGGTCTGGAAAGCGGGTTTTAGTTGCTACGCAGAATGTCAAATGTGTAGTTGCACAAGGAAAGGTTGAAAGCCACTGGCTTATTGCCAGGGCAGATGCACGGCAGCCTTTCCCCAGCAGATGGTGCTGTTTCTCCAGACTTGATATGAAGTGTGAGGCTCCACCCCTCCTCCCCCCCTCCCCCAACCCCCGCCCCGTCGCCCGCCAAATACAGCAGATGGAGCTAAGAGAGAGAAAACTATATTTTGTTTATCCTTACAAGCCAAAAGCTTGATGTTGCAAGAGTTGGAGTAGTTTGGAAAAAATGGCAGTAATCCTGAATGAAATCCAACTATCTAATATTCCTTTTCCTCAATAAAAAATTAGTGATTTTTAGCCCCTTTTTCCAGCGGCAGTGTTAAAAAGGGATTGTTTTCAGGGCTTTTTTTATTCCCACGAGTACAAAGTTGAGTATAATATATTCCAAAAGTTTGTTAACCTACCACCTGTGCCCAGATGGCAAAGTGATATTATCCTCAACCTAATATTTAAGAATAACGTGGAGTTTTTACTAAAACACTTGGAGTAACTGACAGAAGTAAAATTTCTACCTTACAAATTCAACCCAAATTTATTCCTTAAATATTTATTAAGCATTTACCTTGCATCCCAGATCTGCTATGAGGGGACAAAGTTCCTCTCTACTCCCATTGTGCATACATTTTTCGAGAAGAGAAACAATGGTGACTAAGACAAGAAAAAATTAGATACTAGTAAGCGCTCTGCAGAGAACACAGGGTAGAATAACTTTACAGGAGGGGTGATGAGAAGGTGACATCTAATCTAAATGACATGGAAGACATGTAGGAAACTAGGAGAACTGGTGTTCCATGCAGATGGAACAGCATAGCACAGATCTAGGGCAAAGCTTGGCCTTTTTCAGGAATTGAGAGCCCAGTGGCTGGATACCATCAGAGAAGTGGGCTGAAGCCAGATGATAGTGCTTTGTACTCCAGTAAGAAGTTTGAATTGTATTCTAAGTATGGTAAAAAGCCCCTGGAGGACTTTGAGCAGAAGATAACCTGAGTGGTTTACATATTTAAGGAATTCTGTATGGAATGGAGAATGGTTTATAAGTGGGCATGACTGCATGCAGGAAGGTGAGTTAAGTATATCAGGGTTGAGTGCTGCAGGCAAAAATCACAAGGAGTTAGGTGTATACAACATCAGTGGAAGAACTGGGAGAAGAGTCAGGGCAACTACCACTGGACTGTGGAGTTAGAGGACACCTCACAGTGGTTAGCTCAGGAAGCCTGCTACCATTGCCACTGTAGCTCATGCCCACGACGCTGGCCAGACTCTGGAATGCCAGGCCCCATTGCTGCAACCTCTCCAAACAGAACACTTCCATCTCTTCTCCAATTAGGGGGTAAAATTGGCACTTGAGAGAGTCAATCTACTGGGTCTGAGAAGGCTGTTGTAGTAATGAAGGTAAGGGATGGTGGTGGCTTGCCTTAGGGTGGTAAAAGCAGAAATAGAAGTGGAAAGATTCAGAATAGGTTTTAGACATGACAGTGACCACTTATTGATTGATTGGATTTGAAAGGGTAACTCTTACATTTTTAGCTTAAGCAACTGGATAGATGATACTACTGGAAAAATAGCAGTGCTGCTGATAATAATGTAAAGCCAATGTAGATCCTGATGTCAACATGACCGAAGAGCAGTTGGATATAAGTCTAGAGTTCAGAATGCTGGCCTGGCTGGAGATCAGATTTGAGAGTTCACTGGCATAGAGATGCTATTAAAAGCCATGGGATGGGGTTGCTTAGGAAGAGTCTGTTGATAGAGAAGAGAGCCTAAACAGCCCGTAGGCTCCAACACTAGAGGTCAAGCCAAGCAAAGAAACCAGCAAAGGAGATGGGAAAGTATTGGGCACTGAGGAAGGAAAACCAGGAGAGTGGCAGGGGAGCCCATTAAAGAAGGAACTATTCAAATTTATCAATTGCTGCTAAGAATTCAGTTGAGAATAGCAGTGGCCCTGCAGTCTAAGTGGAGTGGTGGGAACAGAAGTAAGATTAAGTTGAGGAGGTCAGGAGGGCCTATGAGGTCTAGCTAAAGATTTATCCATTTTGTTGATCTTTTTAAAGAAGAACATTTGGTTTTGTTGATTCTCTATTTTGTTTATTTCCACTCTAATCGTATTTCCTTCTGCTTGCTTTGGGTTTAATTTGCATTTCTTTTTCTAGTTCCTTAATGTGGAAACTTATGTAATTGCTTTGTGAGTTTTTTTTTTCTTTTTTTTTTTGAGATGGAGTCTCGCTCTGTTGCCCAGGCTGGAGTGCAGTAGTGCAATCTCAGCTCACTGCAACCTCCGCCTCCTGGGTTCAAGCGATTCTCCTGCCTCAGCCTCCCAAGTAGCTGGAACTACAGGCACCTGTCACCACGCCTGGCTAGTTTTTGTATTTTTAGTAGAGACAGGGTTTTGCCATATTGGCCAGGCTGGTCTTGAACTCCTCACCTCAGGTGATCAGCTCGCCTCGGCCTCCCAAAGTGCTGGGATTCCAGGCGTGAGCGACTGTGTCCGGCCATTTTCTTTTTTTTTTTTTTTAATGTAGGCATTTACAGCTCTGAGTTTCCCTCCGAGCATTATTTTCACTGTATCCCATAGGTTGAGGTATGTTGTGTTTTTGTTTTCATGTGTCTCAATATATTTTCTAATTTCCTTTGTGATTTCTTCCTTCACCCATTGGTTGTTTAAGTGTTTAATTTCCACATATTGTGAATTTTCCAAATGTCCTTCTGTTACTGATTTCTAATATCATTCCCCTATACTTAGAGAACATACTTTGTATGATTTTGATCTTTTAAAATTTAACAAGACTTTTCATGGCCTAACTTATAGTCTATCCTGGAGAATATTCTTTGTGCACTGGAGAAGAATTTAAATTCTGCTGTTATTGGGTGGAGTGTTCTGCGTGTATGTCTATTAGGTCTAGTTGGTTTGTAGTGTTGTTTGAATCTTCTGTTTCCTTGTTTACATTCTGTCCAGTTGCTCTATTATTGAATGTGAAGTATTGAATGCTCCCTCTCTTTTGTTAAATTGTCTATTCTTTTCTTCAATTCTCTTTAGCTTCATCTATTTTGCTGCCCTGTTGTAAGGTGTGTATATGTTTATAATTGTTATAGCTTCTTGCTAGCTTCTTTAACATTATAATGTCCTTCTTTGTCTCTTGTAACAGTTTTTGTCTTAAAGTCTATTTTGTCTGGTATTACTGTAGCCACTTCACCCTCTATTTACATGGAATATCTTTTTTTTTTTTTTTTGAGTCAGGGTGTCACTCCGGGGCCCCAGGCTGGAGTGCAGTGGCAAGATCATAGCTTACTGCCTCAATCTCCCAGGCTCAAGCGATCCTCCCACCTTAGCCTCCTGAGTAGCTGGGACCACAGGTGTGCGACCTCACACCTAGCTAATTTTTGTATTTTTGTAGAGATGAGGTCTCACTCTATTGCCCAGGCTGGTCTCAAACTCCTGGGCTCAAGCTATCTGCCTGCCTTGGTCTCCCAAAGTGTTAGGATTACAGCCCGGCCGAATTTCTTTTACCATCCTCTTTCTATTTATTTCTGTCCTGAATCCAAAATGTGTCTTTTATAGGTAGTATGTAATGGATTATGTTTTCAATTCATTATGCCAGCCTCTGCCTTTTAATTGAAGAGTTTAAGCCATTGACATATAATTACTGACAAGCACTTAATTCTGCCATTTTGCTATTTGATTTCTATATATATATATATGTATTTTTTTTTTTTTTTTTTTTTTTTTTTTTTTTGAGACGGAGTCTCGCTCTGTCACCCAGGCTGGAGCGCAGTGGTGCAATCTCAGCTCACTGCAACCTCCACCTCCCAGGTTCAGGCGATTCTCGTGCTTCAACCTCACGAGTAGCTAGGGCTACAGGTGTGCACCACCACACCTGACTAATTTTTGTAATTTTAGTGGAGATGGGGTTTTGCCATGTTGGCCAGGCTGGTCTCGAACTCCTGACCTCAGGTAATCTGCCTGCCTTGGCCTCCCGAAGTGCTGGGATTACAGGCGTGAGCTACCATGCCCAGCATTGTCATCTCTTTTAATATATATTTTTGAATTTTTTTTTAGTGATTTCCCCTGAGGGTACAATTAACATATATTTATAACATTCTAGTTCTGATTAATACCACCTTAGTTTTTGTTTGTTTGTTTTAAGATGGAGTCTCACTCTGTCCCCCAGGCTGGAGCACAGTGGCATGATCTCAGCTCACTGCAGCCTCCCCCTCCCGGGTTCAGGCCGTTCTTGTGCCTCAGCCTCCCTAGTAGCTGGGATTACAGGCGGGAGCCACTGTGCCTGGCCACTACCACTTTAGTTTGAATAGTATACAAAACTTTGCTCCACATAACTCCATTCTCCACCATTTAAGTTGTTATTGTCACAAATTACATCTGTATATATTGTGTACCCATCAACATAGATTTATTACTATTGCTTTATGCAGTTGTATTTTAAATCAGATAGGAGAAAAAGGAGTAGCAAACAACAAATACATTTATACTGTCTTTTAATATTTAACTATTGTATTAGTTTCCTAGGGCTGCAAGGTACTGCAAATTGAGTGGCTTAAAGCAAAAGAAACTTAGCCTCCCAAAGTTCTAGATGCTAGAAGTCTGAAATCAAGGTGTTGGCAGAGTTGGTGCCTTATGGAGGCACTAAGCGAGAATCTGTTCCATTCCACCTAGCTTCTGGTGACAGCTGACAAGCCAGGCCATTGCTTGGGTCATAAATGCGTGACTCCAATTTCTACTTCTGTCTTCACATGGCATTTTTTCCTGTGTGTCTATGTCTTCACAAGGCTATTTTATGAGCACACCAGTCATATTAGAGGAAGGGCCTACCCTAAACCAGTATGATCTCAACTAACTACATCTGCAGTGATTCTATTTCCAAATAAGGTTGCACTCTGATGTACTGGGAATTAGGATGCAGCATATCTTTGGGGTGGGGGGGATACATATTTCAACCCATAACACCAAGAATGTCAGAGCTTTTCAAAGCCCTTGTTCACCAAAGCATCACTAGCCTTTTCTGTCAAGCGTTTTGGTTAGACTGCTGTTGGCTCCAGCTGTTTTCCATTGTTCCAGGGTTGTGATTAATACATTTGCCTTTAACTTTTCATCAAAGGACCCTGGTAGCTGCCTCAGAACTGGCAGAGTTCCAAGTTAGGCAAGATAATAGTAAGCCCATTCAGCTAAGGAGCCACCAGATACGTTGCTATGGACTTAATCGTGTTCCCACAAATTCATATATTGAGGCCCTAGCTAAGCCCCAATGTGACTATATTTGGAGATAAGGCCTTTGGGAGGCAATGAAGATTAAATGAGTTAATAAGGGTGGGCCCTAATCCAATGGATTGGTGGCCTTATAAAAGGAGGAGGAGACACCAGAGAACTCTCCACCATGTGAGGACACACTGAGAAGGTGGCATCTACAAGCCAGGAGGAGCCTTCACTAAAAGCCAAATCTGCCAGAACCTTGATCTTGGACTTTGAGCTTCCAGAACTGTAAGAGAATACATTTCTGTCGTTTAAGCCACCCAGTCTGTAGCATTTTGTTACAGCAGCCCAAGCAGACAAACGCACAGCTCAAAACGAATGACCACAATTCTTTGTGAATGAGATCCATTATTCTGCTCCCTCTGGCATTCTTACCTGTGCTAGAAACCTGGGCTCTTACCTTCAAGGCCATCATCACTGAGCACAGGAGTGGGAGTTAGAAGGAGGGTAACTTAAATCACCACAGAGCTTCCTGAGCTTTTGCTGAGATTCAGGTAGTTTTGTAATTGCCCAGCTGGGTTCTTCTTGCCCACTGCCCAGAAAAGCTAATGCACTAAGAGCAGCAAGAGTGTTGCAGCAAATAATTTCATTATCACAGGGCCCACCAAGCAGATGGACGGGAAATAATTCTCAAATCCACCTCCCTGAGAATTCGGGGACTAGGGTTTTTCAAGGATAGTTTGGTGGGCAGGAGGCTAGGGAATGAGTAATGCTGATGGGTTGGGTCAAGGATGAAATCATAGGGGGTTGCTATTCTTTTGCTGAGTTGATATCTGGGTGCAACTTTTTTTAATGGGTGGTGCCAGTTGGTCCATACGAAATTCAAATCTGAAAAATATCTCAAACATCAGTCTTAGGTTTTATAACAGTGATGTTATCCACAGGGGCATTTGGGGGAAGTTACAAATCTTGTGACCAGTGGCTATGTGACTTCTGAGTAGTAAAGAGTTTTTTTTTTTTTTTTAGATGGAGTCTCACTCTATAGCCCAGGCTGGAGTGCTGTGGTGCCATCTCGGCTCACTGCAACCTTCACCTCCCAGGTTCAAGCAATTCTCTGCCTCAGCCTCCCGAGTAGCTGGGATTACAGGCACCCACAACCACACCCGGCTAATTTTTTTGTATTTTTAGTAGAGATGGGGTTTCACCATCTTGGCCAGGCTGGTTTTGAACTCCTGACCTCGTGATCCACCCACCTCAGCTTCCCAAAGTGCTGGGATTATAGGCATGAGCCACCGTGCCGGGCCAAGTAGTTTTAAACAGTCAAGTTATAAAACAATGACTGGTTAGAGTTTAACTCTGCCTACATCTTAGCAGAAGAAACAATGGCTGATTAGAGTTTGTGCCTACATCTTAGCAGAATTCAGGGCCCTATCACATTTCTAAGCTTGAGGCCTTTGGTTAGTTTTACAAAAGCAGTTTTGGTCCTGAGCAAGGAGGGGGTTAGTTATGAGAAGGAACTATTTTCATTTTTGTTTTAACATTAAACTATAAATTCGTAGGCCAGGCACGGTGGCTCACACCTGTAATCCCAGCACTTTGGGAGGCCAAGGTGGGAGGATCACTCAAGACCAGGAGTTCAAGACCAGCCTGGGTAATATGATGAAACCCCATCTATCAAAACAAAAGAAAACAAAACAAAAATTAGCTGGGCATGGTGGTTATGTGCCTGTAGTCCCAGCTACTCAGGAGGCTGAGACAGTAGGATTGCTTGAGGTTGGGAGGTCGAAGCTGCAGTGAGCCATGAGTGTGTCACTGCACTCCAGCCTGGGTGACAGAGTGAAACCCTGTCTCAAAAAATAAAAATAAAAGTAAATACAAAATTCCTCCTATAGTTAGCCTGGAATGAGCAAAGACAGCTTGTGAGGTTAGAAGGAAGATGGAGTCAGTTATGTTAGATTTCCCTCACTCATAATTTTTGCAAAAGTAGTTAGTCTTTCTTGATTAAGTCCTCCTGGTTGCTGTAAGCTTTTGCTTAGGTTCTAGAATTCTAAAAAAGTTGATTCTGGCAGTTTTTGCCAGTTTATTTATTGCTTTTTTGGAGGGACTTTTGATGTTCCTTATTCTTCCCTGTTCATGGATGTCACCCCTACATGCTTTTCTTACAATGTGACTTTTGCAGTCCTCTCACCAAGAGGTGGGGCCTATGTTCCATTCTATGAGACTGGGTGGGACTTACGACTGCTCCAACCAAACAAGGACAACAGAGGCCATGGTTTGTAACTTTCTAAGCTAGGTTATGATACAGCTTCTAGCTGACTCACTTTTTTCAAGAGCTGGGGTTAGACAATTGCTCTGGGGAAGTCAGCTACCACACTGTGAGAAGCCCAGATTCACCCATATGGAGAAAAACTAAGGCCTCAAGCTGACAGCCAGCCTTGACCTCCAGACACAAGAATAGGCTGGTCTTCAGATGCTTCCAGCGTCCAGCCTTCAAGCTCTCTAGTAGAGACCCCAGACTTCAGAGAAAAGCTGTCCCTGCTGTGCCCTGTCTGAATTCCTGACCCACAGAATCTGTGAGTATAATAAATGGTGGCTTTATGCCACTACATTTTGTGATAATCTGTTTGGCAGCCAACGTGAATCAAATAGTACTAAGCAGTGGACAGGATTTTTCATCCGTTTCAGCACAGCGAGGCTTTTAAAAGGCCTCTGCTGGGGTATGCAGTTAGGAACATCGAGATTGTCTCATCATTCCCCCGTCTCCTTCCAAGTGGTGGCATCTCTTATCTTCCTACATTTTGCAAGTGTCCCCATCTTCCCAGTCATACAGGCTTGAACCTTCAGAATGTCTTTGACGCTTTCTTCCCCTTCACCCTCCTCCACAGGCAGCAAGTCACACCTGTTGTCTTTTGCACAGTGCCTCTCAAATTCGTTTTCTTCCCATTCCTAGCAGCCTGTGCTTGAAGCTCCAGTAGTTATTCCTACAAAATAAAATGCCACAATAGAAAAAGACTGCTGATAATAAGCATAGTGCTTTCAGGCTTTATACTAGAAAAGGGTACTGCTTAAAGCCTTCCAAGGGCAAGTAATGATAATGCTTATGGATACGATAAGGAAGTCAAATGTATTTTGAGAAAGCTCTCTCCTAGGACAATGCAAAAAGCAAATCACCAGCTGGTCTCTATCTGGAGTACTTCTAGTCACTGAATCCACTTGTTGCTGTGTTTAGTCTAAGCCCTTTCCCCCCAGTGCTCTTAATTATCTCTGGCTACAAATCTAAATATAGTTTACAAAAATCTGGTCATCTTAGATGTTATTCTAATATTGACTGGTAAATAAATCTCTTAGTTCTGCTTTATACAGAAATATTCATTGAATACCTTACATCTTTTCTTTATTCTGACCCAGATAGCATTTGTGGGTGGAGTTGTTCTTGTTGCTGCTGCTGCTGCTGTTGTTGTTGTTGTTGTTGTTGTGATGGAGTCTCGCTCTGTCGCCCAGGCTGGAGCACAGTGGCACGACCTCGGCTCACCACAACCTCCACCTGAAGCAATTCTCCTGCCTCAGCCTCCCACGTAGTTGGGATTACAAGCGTGCACCACCATGCCTGGCTAATTTTTATATTTTTAGTAGAGATAAGGTTTCACCATGTTGGCCAGGCTGGTCTTGAACTCGTGACCTCAAGTGATCCACCCACCTCAGCCTTTCAAAGTGCTGGGATTACAGGCATGAGCCACCGTGCCTGGTCTGTGAGGAGAGTTTTTGATGAGTTAAATTTTAAAATCTGAGTATGACCTACAGAGTCAGCTCAGCTTCTTATTTTATTTATTTATTTATTTTTTGAGACAGGGTCTCACTTTTTCACCCAGGCTGGAGTGCAGTGGCACAATCTTGGCTCACTGCAACCTTGACCTCCCAGGCTCAAGCGATCCTCCTGCCTCAGCTTCCCAAGCAGCTGGGACTACAGGTGGGCACCACCATACCCAGCTAATTTTTTTTGTATTTTAATAGAGAGGGGGTTTTGCCATGTTGCCCAGGCTGGTCTCAAATTCCTGGGCTCGAATGATCCGCCTGCCTTGGCCTCCCAAAGTGCTGGCATTACAGGCAGGAGCTACTCTGTGCCCAGCAGCTTCTTGTCTTAAAAACATGAAACACATTTAATTTTTCTCAGGAAAGGACTTAGTTATCCTTAATATTTTATTTTGAAGCTACATGAGAGGCAATCAGGTACTAACACAGGGTTTGCATAAGGATATTTCAAGTCTTATTTAGAATTTGGGTATTTAACATGTACTAGTTGCTGCAGACATCATAAAAAATAACTATAATCGGCCGGGCGCGGTGGCTCACGCCTGTAATCCCAGCACTTTGGGAGGCCGAGGCGGGTGGATCATGAGGTCAAGAGATCGAGACCATCCTGGCTAACATGGTGAAACCCCGTCTCTACTAAAAATACAAAAATTACCCGGGTGCGGTGGCAGGCGCCTGTAGTCCCAGCTACTCGGGAGGCTGAGGCAGGAGAATGGCGTGAGTCTGGGAAGCAGAGCTTGTAGTGAGCCGAGATTGTGCCACTGCCCTCCAGCCTGGGCAACAGAGCAAGACTCCGTCTCAAAAAAAAACACACAAAAAAACAAAAACTGTAATCGAGAACTTCCTCAAGACCTACAAAGCTGTTTGATGGGACTAGCATGAGGACAATTGTATCCTCCGAAATTGATTACAATAGCACTGTTTCTTAAATGCCTTGAGTGACTGAGCAGCTCATATATAATAGACCAAATATTTAAAAAACATCTGGGGTTGGGGGTTGGCAGCTACCAGTCATTTATTTTAGAAATAGTAAGTACTTACCTATATGCCAAGCACTGGTTCTAAGTACTGGCTGCATATACGGCAGACACAAATCTCTGTCCTCCTGGAGTTTATATTTTAGCAGTAGAGAGAGTCAGATAATAACAAAATAATAAAATGTGTCAGTATTATGCACGTTAGAATTTTAACTGATTACAGGCTATGTTTAAAAAATGCTGTACCCAGGAGATCAAGGCTGCAGTGAGCTACGATGGTGCCACTGCACTCCAGCCTGGGTGAGCAAGATCCTGTTTAAAAAAAAAATGCTATACAGCAAAATAAAACGGAAAGAGGGATAGAGTGTACAGAGGTGGCCTTGCAGGGAATGAATTTCAGAGAGGTCAGGGGTGTCAGTGAGAATGTAACATTTGAGTAGGTGAAGAAGGTGAGAGATTTAAATATATAGGGGAAGATTTCCCAGGGCAGAGGTCACAGCAAGTGCAAAGGCCCTGTATTAGTTCCTTCTCACACTGCTATAAAGAATTGCCTGAGACTGGCTAATTTATAATGGAAATAGGTTTAATTGACTCACAGTTCCACACGGCAGGGAAGGCCTCAGGAAACTTACAATCATGGCAGAAGGGGAAGCAAATACATCCTTCTTCACATGGTAGCAGCAAGGAGAAGTGCAGAGCGAAGGTGGGGAAAAGCCCTTTATAAAACTATCAGATCTTGTGAGAACTCACTATCATGAGAACAGCATGAGAGTAACCACCCCCACTGAGAGACAGGACTAGCTGGATTTCCTAGGCCGACTAAGAATCCATAAGCCTAGCTGGGAAGGTGACCACATCCGCCTTTAAACACGGGGCTTGCAACTTAGCTCACACCTGACCAATCAGGTAGTAAAGAGAGCTCACTAAAATGCTAATTAGGCTAAAACAGGAGGTAAAGAAATAGCCAATCATCTATTGCCTGAGAGCACAGGGGGAGGGACAATGATTGGGATATAAACCCAGGCATTTGAGCCGGCAAAGGCAACCCCCTTTGGGTCCCCTCCTGTTGTATGGGAGCTCTGTTTTCATTCTATTAAATCTTACAACTGCATACTCTCTGGTCCGTGTTTGTTCTGGTTCGAACTGAGCTTTCGCTCGCCATCTACCACTGCTGATTGCTGTTGTTGCAGACACCACCACTGACTTCCACCCCTCCGGATCCAGCAGGGTATCTGCTGCACTTCAGATCCAGTGAGGCGGGGCCCATTGCTGCTCCCAATCGGGCTAGAGGCTCGCCGTTGTTCCTGACCAGGCTAAGTGCCTGGGGTTTGTCCTAATCAAGCTGAATAGAGCTACAACCCTCACTACATGGCCCAAGATTCCATTCCTTGGAATCTGAGGCCAAGAACCTCAGGTCAGAGAACAAGAGGCTTGCCGCCATCTTGGAAGTGGCCCGCCGCCATCTTGGGAGCTCTAAGAACAAGGACCCCCCAGTAACATATTGGCAACCCAGATGGGAATTTCCAAAGTGGTGAGTAATATGAGACCACTTTTGCTTGCTATTCTGTTCTATCCTTCCTTAGAATCAGAGGAAAATACCGGGCACCTGTTGGCGAGTTAAAAAACGATTAGCCTGGCTGCCGGACTTAAGACTCCGGTGTGAGGCTGTCTGGGAAAGGGCTTTCTAACAACCCCCAACCCTTCTGGGTTGGGGGCATTGGTCTACCTGGAACCAGCTTCCACTTTGAATTTTCCTGGGGAAGCCGAGGGCCAAGTAGAGGCAGAAAGCTGTTGTCCCGAACTCCCAGTTAAGATCATGGCGCAGCCAGAAGTCTTTTTTTTTTTTTTTTTTTTTTTTTTTTTTTTTGAGACGGAGTCTCGCTCTGTCGCCCAGGCTGGAGTGCAGTGGCGCGATCTCGGCTCACTGCAAGCTCCGCCTCCCGGGTTCACGCCATTCTCCTGCCTCAGCCTCCCGAGTAGCTGGGACTACAGGCGCCTGCTACCACGCCCGGCTAATTTTTTGTATTTTTAGTAGAGACGGGGTTTCACCGTGTTAGTCAGGATGGTCTCGATCTCCTGACCTCGTGATCCGCCCGCCTCGGCCTCCCAAAGTGCTGGGATTACAGGCGTGAGCCACCGCGCCCGGCCAGAAGTCTTTACTCAACAGTCATCCATGCGTGCGCACCTACCTTTCCTTCTGACCCATACCTCCTGGGTCCTGACCACCACTTTCTTGAAAGTGTAGCCCCAAAATTCTCCTTACCTCTGAATCTACTTCCTCCAATCCCTGCTTCCTAGGTACTAATGCTTCAGACTTTCACTTCCTCTCCCAAGCATTAGAGTGAGTTGTATCTCCAAAGGGATCTAGGGAAGCTCGATGCTGTGTCCTTAGGCATCTAGGCTATGAACCCAGGGAGTCTTGTCCCTGGTGCCCCTCCCAATTTAGGTATATAGCTCTCAACATGGGCAGTTATGTGAGACCCGTTCCCCACCACCCTTGCTAGGGCCCCAAGTTTGTAAATGGCTAGGAGGATTGCTCTCCCATTGTGTAAGATGCTCTCCTCCCCCAATTTCTACCCAGCTTACCCCCCTGCAATACAATCTCTAAGGCTTGGTTCCTTGGCCAGGGCCTTAGAACTGATGACCCAGTACTTTAACAACTGGAACTGGGTCTACGACAACATAATAGATCAGGATGAAGGCGAATTGAGTAAATTAAAAGGGAGGCGCATATTCCTATGGTGGTTGGGGGCAACGAGCGAACATCCTTCCGCTGTGTTCCCAAAATCTATCTACAAAGAAAAGGGAAGGAGAGAGAGAGAGACAGAGAGGAGAGAGAGAGAAAAAAAGAGAGATTCAGAGAGAGAGAGAGAGAGAAAGTCAAAGAGAAAGAAAGAGATCCCAGTAGTAGCAACTTCTTTGCTAACAAAAGAAAGTAGAAAATTAGCCTTTAGAGGAAACCTCATTGTGAGCACACCTCACAGTTCAGAACTATCCTAAGTAAAAAAAAAAGCAAAAAGGGTAGCTTACTAACTCAACAATCTTAAAGTATAGAGCTATTCTGTTTAAAAAAAGATAATTTAACATTAACCACTGAAAATTCCCTTAACCCAGCAGATTTCCTAACAGGGGATTTAAATCTTAATTACCATACAAAGGTCCAACCAGACCTAGGAGGAACCCCCTTTAGGACAGGAAGATAGATGGTTCCTCCCAGGTGATTGAGAAAAAAAACACAATGGGTATTCAGTAATTGAGGGAAACTCTTGTAGAAGCAGAGTTAGGAAAATTGCCTAATAATTGGGTCTGCTCAAACGTGGGAGCTGTTTGCACTCAGCCAAGCCTTAAAGTACTTACAGAATAAAAAAACTCTGTCTCAATCCTGACTCAAAAGATTATCCACACCCTCTCTGAAATGAATTTGCATAAGAACTGTTGTTTGTGGGAATGCATCTTGATGGGGGAACTGGGTTGTTAGGAAATACTCAGGAACCCAGCCCAGCTCTAGAACTCACCTCTGAGCGCAAAGGCAATGTTGGGCACACTGGTAAAGGACCACTAGAATCCAGCAGCCCAGAGCCCTTTCTTTGTGGTCAAGAAAGGCGGGAAAACAGGTGCAGGACTGCTACGTTGGTGAGCGTAACTAATCTGATAAGCAGAGGTCCATGGGTGGTTACGCACCCTGGAAAGGAATAAGCATTAGGACCATAGAGGACGCTCTAGGACTAATGCTCATCGGAAAATAACTAGGGGTGCTGGCATCCCTGTGTTATTTTTTCAGATGGGAAATGTTCCCCCTAAGGCAAAAACACCCCTAAGATGTATTCTGGAGAATTGGGACCAATTTGACCCTCAGATGCTAAGAAAGAAGTGACTTATATTCTTCTGCAGTACCGCCTGGCCATGATATCCTCTTCAAGGGAGAGAAACCTGGCCTCCTCAGGGAAGTATAAATTATAACACCATCTTACAGCTAGACCTCTTTTGTAGAAAAGAAGGCAAATGGAGTGAAGTGCCATATGTACAAACTTTCTTTTCATTAAGAGACAACTCGCAATTATGTAAAAAGTGTGATTTATGCCCTACAGGAAGCCCTCAGAGTCTACCTCCCTATCTACCTCCTTACCCCGGCATCCCCCCGCCCCCCCACTCCTTCCTCAACTAATAAGGACCCCCCCTTCAACCCAAACTATCCAAAAGGAGATAGACAAAGGGGCAAACAATGAACCAAAGAGTGCCAATATTCCCTGATTATGCCCCCTCCAAGCGGTGGGAGGAGGAGAATTTGGCCCAGCCAGAGTGCATGTACCTTTTTCTCTCTCAGACTTTAAAATAGACCTAGGTAAATTCTCAGATAACCCTGATGGCTATATTGATGTTTTACAAGGGTTAGGACAATCCTTTGATCTGACATGGAGAGATATGATGTTACTGCTAAATCAGACACTAACCCCAAATGAGAGAAGTGCCGCCATAAACTGCAGCCCGAGAGTTTGGTGATCTCTGGTATCTCAGTCAGGTCAATGATAGGATAGCAACAGAGGAAAGAGAACGATTCCCCACAGGCCAGCAGGCAGTTCCCAGTGTAGACCCTCACTGGGACACAGAATCAGAACATGGAGATTGGTGCCGCAGACATTTACTAACTTGCGTGCTAGAAGGACTAAGGAAAACTAGGAAGAAGCCTATGAATTATTCAATGATGTCCACTATAACACAGGGAAAGGAAGAAAATCCTACTGCCTTTCTGGAGAGACTAAGGGAGGCATTGAGAAAGCATACCTCTCTGTCACCTGTCTCTATTGAAGGCCAACTAATCTTAAAGGATAAGTTTGTCACTCAGCCAGCTGCAGACATTAGAAAAAAACTTCAAAAGTCCGCCTTAGGCCCAGAGCAAAACTTAGAAACCCTATTGAACTTGGCAACCTCGGTTTTTTATAATAGAATCAGGAGGAGCAGGTGGAACGTGGTAAACGAGATTAAAAAAAGGCCACCGCTTTAGTCATGGCCCTCAGGCAAGCGGACTTTGGAGCCTCTGGAAAAGGGAAAAGCTGGGCAAATCGAATGCCTAATAAGGCTTGCTTCCAGTGCGCTCTACAAGGACACTTTAAAAGAGATTGTCCAAATAGAAATAAGCCGCCCCCTCGTCCATGCCCCTTATGTCAGGGGAATCACTGGAAGGTCCACTGCCCCAGGGGACGAAGGTCCTCTGAGTCAGAAGCCACTAACCAGATGATCCAGCAGCAGGACTGAGGGTGCCCAGGGCAAGTGCCAGCCCATGCCATCACCCTCTCAGAGCCCCAGGTATGCTTGACCATTGAGGGCCAGGAAGTTAACTGTCTCCTGGACACTGGCACAGCCTTCTCAGTTTTACTCTCCTGTCCCGGACAACTGTCCTCCAGATCTGTCACTATCCGAGGGGTCCTAGGACGGCCAGTCACTAGATACTTCCCCCAGCCACTAAGTTGTGACTGAAGACCTTTACTCTTTTCACATGCCTTTCTAATTATGCCTGAAAGCCCCACTCCCTTGTTAGGGAGAGACATTCTAGCAAAAGCAGGGGCCATTATACACCTGAACGTAGGAGAAGGAACACCTGTTTGTTGTCCCCTGCTTGAGGAAGGAATTAATCCTAAAGTCTGGGCAACAGAAGGACAATATGGATGAGCAAAGAATGCCCATCCTGTTCAAGTTAAACTAAAGGATTCCACCTCCTTTCCCTACCAAAGGCAGTACCCCCTTAGACCCGAGGCCCAACAAGGACTCCAAAAGATTGTTAAGGACCTCTTGTTTCCAATCTGGAGATAATCCATACCCCAAACCTCACCTGTGTAAATGTTAGCAATTCTATAGACACAACCAACTCCCAATGCATCAGGTGGGTAACTCCTCCCACACAAATGGTCTGCCTACCCTCAGGAATATTTTTTGTCTGTAGTACCTCAGCCTATCATTGTTTAAATGGCTCTTCAGAATCTATGTGCTTCCTCTCATTCTTAGTGCCCCCATGACCATCTACACAGAACAAGATTTATACAATTATGTTGTACCTAAGCCCTGCACCAAAAGAGTACCCATTCTTCCTTTTGTTACCGGAGCAGGAGTGCTAGGCAGACTAGGTACTGGCATTGGTGGTATCACAACCTCTACTCAGTTCTACTATAAACTATCTCAAGAACTAAATGGTGACATGGAATGGGTCGCCAACTCACCAGTCACCTTGCAAGATCAACTTAACTTCCTAGCAGCAGTAGTCCTTCAAAATCAAAGAGTTTTAGACTTGCTAACTGCCGAAAGAGGGGAAACCTGTTTATTTTTAGGGGAAGAATGCTCTTATTATGTTAATCAATCCGGAATCGTCACCGAGAAAGTTAAAGAAATTCGAGATCGAATACAACGTAGAGCAGAGGAGCTTCAAAACACCAGACCCTGGGACCTCCTCAGCCAATGGGTGTCCTGGATTCTTCCTTTCTTAGGACCTCTAGCAGTTATAATATTGTTACTTCTCTTTGGACCCTGCATCTTTAACCTGCTTGTTAAGTTTGTCTCTTCCAGAATTGAAGCTGTAAAGCTACAAATGATTCTTCAAATGGAGCCCCAGAGGCAGTCCATGACTAAAATCTACTGCGGACCCTTAGACCGGCCTGCCAGCCCATGCTCCAATGTTGATGACATCCAAGGTACCCCTCCGGAGGAAATCTCAACTGCACAACTCCTACTGTGCCCCAATTCAGCAGGAAGCAGTTAGAGCGGTCATCGACAGACCTCCCCAACAGCACTTAGGTTTTCCTGATGAGAGGGGGAACTGAGAGACGGGACTAGTTGGATTTCCTAGGCCAACTAAGAATCCATAAGCCTAGCTGGGAAGGTGACAGCATCCACCTTTAAACACGGGGCTTGCAACTTAGCTCACACCAGACCAATCAGGTAGTAAAGAGAGCTCACTAAACTGCTAACTAGGCTAAAACAGGAGGTAAAGAAATAGCCAATCATCTATCTCCTGAGAGCACAGCGGGAGGGACAATGATCGGGATATAAACCCAGGCATTTAAGCCAGCAAAGGCAACCCTCTTTGGGTCCCCTCCCGTTGTATGGGAGCTCTGTTTTCACTCTATTAAATCTTGCAACTGTACACTCTCAGGTCTGTGTTTGTTCCGGTTCGAACTGAGCTTTCGCTCGCCATCCACCACTGCTGATTGCTGTCGTCGCAGATGCCGCCGCTGACTTCCACCCCTCCGGATCCGGCAGGATGTCCACTGCACTTCTGATCCAGTGAGGCAGCGCCCACTGCTGCTCCCAATCAGGCTAGAGGCTCACCATTGTTCCTGCGTCAGCTAAGTGCCTGGGGTTCATCCTAATCAAACTGAAGAGAGCTATAACACTCATTGCATGGCCCAAGATTCCATTCCTTGGAATCCGTGAGGCCAAGAACCCCAGGTCAGAGAACAAGAGGCTTGCTGCCATCTTGGAAGTGGCCTGCCACCATCTTGGGAGCTTTAAGAACAAGGACCCCCCAGTAACACCATGATTCAATTACCTCCCACTGGGTCCCTCCCATGACACATGGGAGTTATGGGAACTACAGTTCAAGATGAGATTTGGGTGGAAACACAGCCAGACCATATAAGGCCTGTGGCCACAGCATGTCTGACTGTTGGAAGAACACAAGGAGGCAGAGGGACGAACAGAGAGAAGGAAAGGTGTAAAGGCAGACCTTGTTAGGCCTTGTAAAGCATTTTAATGATTGGGGTTTTTAGTCTGAGTACAAGGAGTTCTGAGTGCTGAGTGATGAGTGCTGAAGGGTTTTAAGCAGAAGAGAGATGACGATGTAAGCTTTTTTTTTTTTTTTTTTTTAAGACAGGGTCTCACTCTGTTGCCCAGGCTACAGTGCAGTGGCACAATCTCAGGGCCCCCTGCAGCCTTGACCTCCCAGGCTCAGGTGATCTTCCCTCCTCAGCCTCCTGGGTAGCTGGGACTACAGGTGTGTGCCACCATGCCTGGCTAATTTCTTGTAGAGTCAGGGTATCACCATGTTGCCCAGGCTGGTCTTGAACTTCTGGGCTCAAGTGATCCTCCCTCCTGGGCCTCCCAAAGTGCTGGGATTACAGGCATGAGCCACGTCAGGCCTAATTTAGCTTTTAGAGAGATCATTTTGACTTCTGTATTAAGGACACACCTTAGCAAATGATGGAAGAAGAGAGACTAATTTTTATAAGTTATTATAAAAATCCAGGAGAGATAGCAGTGGTTTGGACTAGATAGTGGCAGTGGATGAATTCTAGTATACTTTAAAGGTAGAGCAGAAAGGATTTGGGGTGTGCGAGAGAGAAGAGATGAGGATTGCTCCAAAATTTCAGTGTGAGCAACTGAAAGACGGGTTGTCTCTAACTTGGGTGGAAGGAATGCATTTAAAGAGATTAGATCAGAATGTGTTAAACTTGGGAAGCCTTTCAAGTGAAGATGCTATAAGGGTAGTTGAAGACACAGATCTATGGTATTGAGGATAGAGGTCTGGCCTGGAGCACCTGGGAAATGTCAGCCCATGGCAATATTTAAAACTGGAATACCGGACAAGGTCACTCAGAGAGTGAGTGTGGGTAGGAAAGACGAGTTGCCAGGACGGAGCCATGGGGTACTCCAGTGTTGGGATGGCAGGGAGAATGTGGCCCAGCAGAGGAAGCTGGGTGGAGAGAGAAGCAGGAGGCAAATTAAAAGGGCACAATATTCTGAGAGCCAAGTAAAAATGTTTTAAGCAGAGAGGTGGCGAGGGGGGTGATCAAATTGTGAAGTGTTGCTTATCGATCTAGGTACGGTAAGAAAAGCACTGAGAATCAAATAGTGCCAACCCCACAGATGGTCTCTTTCCTCTCTTTCTGAATTATGATGGCTTCTCTAATGATTCTTTGGAACTTGCGCCTCAAAGGAATGACAATGACTAAAGAAGTTGAGGATCCTGTGGCGGTCACTGGGCTGTTCACAAACGCATCTCCCATTGTGGGCACATGGTAGGAGTGCCATGCTTAGAGAAGGCCACTCGGTTTCCTTTGCCAGTGAAATGTAAGCTAAGGAAAGTTTGCCATTCCTGGCAGGAGCTCTGAGAGCCAGGGAGCAGTCTGCCACATTTCCTTGGCAGTGAGCAACTGTGGAAGCATGTGCCGAGAGGAAACGTCTATCAGCCATGGTCGGAGTTGTTACAATGAGCAGAATCCCCTGCTGAACTTGGATAGACATCCAGTATGAGAAATAAACTTTAGTTTTATTAGTTTTATGTTGGGACAGCAAAACCTAAACTATCCTGAGGACGCAATGCCTAAATACAAAAATAATATAAACAGTGGTATCCAGTCTCCATTGATAACCAGTAGATTATACATTTCAGGATACGAAATTTTACTTTTCCACACCAGGGATAGAGAAAATCCAGCAAATAACATAGATGATAAAACTTGACCTCATTGTAAGTTCGCTTTTTTTTGTTTTTTTTTTTTTTTTTGGAATGGAGTCTCGCTCTTTCTCCCAGGCTGGAGTGATGTAGTAGTGTGATCCTGGTTCACCGCAACCTCCGCCTCCTGGGTTCAAGCAATTCTCCTGCCTCAGCCTCCCAAGTAGCTGGGATCACAGGCATGTACCACCACGCCCGGCTGATTTTTGTATGTTTTAGTAGAGACAGGGTTTCACCATGTTGACCAGGCTGGTCTTGAACTTGTGACCTCAGGTGATCTGCCTGCCTCGGTCTCCCAAAGTGCTAGTATTACAGGCGTGAGCCACCTTATGGGATCACTGTCTTATATTCAGTGTTCTTTTGACTGAAACATTGCTATGGGTGCATGGCTATATTTGGTCTTTGTCCCCAGTTCCTGCACAGAACTTCTAAAACCGTTGACGTTTACTGAGAGAGGTGTCTTTTGTTCTACATAATGAGCCCCTTTTGATCACACTTGAGTTTATGCTAATGAGGTTACTTAGGGTGGGGCCCCTGGATAGACTCAGGCTCAGGCTGGTCAGCAGAAACACCTCCTGACCTTTGAGCTTTGGGGAGAGAGGGCATCTGGAGATCCAGCTCCATAAAATAAACTCTTGAATGGTACGATTTGGACAGCTCCCAGGTAGATGAACACAGCGAGGTGCTGGGAGGATGATGCGCTCTGGGTGGGCGTGGAGCTCCATGCACCTCCCCATGCCTTGCCCTATGCTTCTTTTCAATTTGGCTCTTCCTAAGTTGTAGCCTTCATCATAAACCTGCAAATGTAAGGATTTTCCAGAGTTCTGTGAGCTGTTCTAGCAAATTATTTGAACCTTAAGCGGGCAGTGTGTGGGAGCCCCTTCGACTTTGTAGCCAATATGGACAGAAGTGAGGGTCACCGGTGGACCCAGTATCTGTGACTGGCAATGGAAGTGAGGCAGTCTTGTGGGACTCAGCCCTTAAACCTGTGGAACCTGACACTAACTCCGGGTAGTTAGTGTCACAATTGAATTGTAGATACTCAATTGGTGTCCGGAAGAATCAGAGAATTGGTTGATGGTGTTGGAAAACACCCTACCAATATAACACTTAAGTTCATTTTTAGCATAATATCTGACTGGGTTTTCAGATGTTTTAATATTAGAGAAGAAATGGTGGTGTAAGAGACAAAGAAATAACAATTATGCATAAAAGAATTTTATTTAGTGGCCAGATCCCAATGAATAATGTCAGTCATTGCTTGGTTCTGCTAAAATGTGGTATTAGATATATTCTTAAGAAAGTGTACAATTGCATCACCAAAAGCTGTTTAATTTGGATTGTGTAGAATAAAAGAAAACTACATAAGTCTTTGTTCTTTGATAAAAATTTTAAAATATAAAAATGAAAAAAAGAAACCCAAAAGCAGTATTCAAAACTAACAAATGTCACCTTGGACTATTTACAGTAAGACGCCTTTTTGACAGGAGAATCTTGTTCTCAGCTTGTTCTTTTCCTCACATTTTACTTACAGGGATTCTCACTCCCCCATCTGATCCCTATTCATAACTTCTTCCATTCCTGTCTCACATGAAACAGCCATCTTCCATGCTCTCTCACTCATCTTTGAGTCTCTCTCTGACACTCCTTTTTCCTACTCTTAAATTATTAATAATTCTATTCAACAGACATTTATTGAGCACCTAGTATGTGCCAGGCACTGTGTTAAGAGGTGGGGAACAATACAGAGATGAAAAGACATTGACCTTTTCCTCAAGAAATTCAGACTTTGGGTTGAATTAAAAAACGTTTTTCTTTTTTTCTTTTTTTTTTGAGATGGAGTTTTTAGCTCTTTTTGCCCAGGCTGGAGTGCAATGGCGTGATCTCGTCTCACCGCAACCTGCCTCCCGGGTTCAAGTGATTCTCCTGCCTCCGCCTCCTGAGTAGCCGGGATTACAGGCATGCGCCACCACACCAGGCTAATTTTGTATTTTTTTTAGTAGAGACGGGGTTTCTTCACATTGGTCAGGCTGGTCTCGAGCTCCCAACCTCAGGTGATCCGCCCGCCTCAGCCTCCCAAAGTGCTGGGATTACAGGTGTGAGCCCCACACCCAGCCTAAAAAATGTTTTTCATATTATATTCCAGGTAATCCCAGACCTCTATGGGGTAAATCTGGGGATTTCTTGGAAGAAAGTGCACTCATGGAGGGTCTGTCCACTTGGCTCACTCCAACAGTTTGAATTTGGAATTCTGCTTTTCTTCATGAAGCACAGTCTCATAAGCCCACACCTACGGTCTGAGTTCTGAACTCTCAGCAGGTGGGAACTGGGAACTGCGGGTTGGCTAGCAGGGGGGCCAGCTGTGTCAATTTGGTTTTTAGGAAGGGTATTCTTTTAATTGGCTTCTACAAATTCCAAATTTGAAAAGCCCTTAATCCAAAAAAAAAAAAAACCCTACTAAATTTGAGCAAAAGATACATATTAACAAAGTCTCCCCTGATTTGGACTTGCAACAAGATACTGTAAGGTGCCTATCTTTGATAAATGTCCAGCAGCAGCTCTTTTTATTACCTCTGCACATCCATATTTCTTTCCATTTTTCTGTGATATTTTCTTAGCTTCCCACGTAAGCCTGCAGGTGACCTCAGTTTTTCTTTGATCATGGTTGAACCCAAAGCAAGCTCAGCTCTTGCATTTGGTCTACATCTTTGTCCATGAGGCTTAGAGAGACTCATGGTAGTTACTTAAAAGAAACTATGAAATATAAAACATTGTACATGGCATACTATGAAAGCAAACACTAAACCATACCTTCACTGCCCCCATCTTGTTCCAGGCCTGATAGACCACGTCCCTACACATATTCACATTTGGAAATCATTCTCAGTCACAGTGCATCAAGTCCAGATCACAGCGGCGGGCTTTGCTCTCACAGTCTGTGGCATATGTCTCTCCTGGGATCCACACAGCCGACCACTGAACAACGATGAAGGGGGCTTTCGTGGGAAAGTTCTTCTCACTATGCCTTTCCACAGGCGACACAGGGTCACATCTCAATACAATTTCCGTCCTATTCTATGATACACTATTATCCACTCAAGAATATTAGTGCCAGATTCAGAACTTCCTCACGAGCTGGTTCCAAGCCCTTTGGACCTGAAGGCAACGTCGGGAGTTGGCATTACTCCCAAGGAACATTTGGCCTGCCCTACTCGGTAGGGTGCTTGAGACATGTGGAGAGAATGGGAAGAGGAGGGAGTGCTGGGAAGGGGACGGATAAGAAGTGATCATGCACAAGCTTCTTGCTCTGTCGTGCATATATTTTCAGTGTAACAGCGTGTATTTCGACACATAAGGGCTTGTGCTTTTTCATTAAAGAAATAACTCGCCCTGAAAAGCTCATTTGGCAAATGTGGCCATGAATGTGTGTGTGTGTGTGTGTGTGAAATGAGGTTCTATGTCAAGTCCTGTGAGTGTGTCCTACTGGCCCCTCCCCCACTGTCACACCCACCTCACCAGCAAGGAAAAACTGATGGTTTACACCTGGTCAGTCTGATATTCAGAAGCTTCTGACAGGCTTTCTGAGAAGCTTAGGAAATTCTCCTGGTACTCAGAGCAAACAATCTCATAGCGGTAATGCCGGAACTCCACGGCAAAGGTGCCAAAATAAGACAGGAAGCACATGACCAGGCCCCACTGGACCCTGGCTGCATACATGTGGATGCTTTGGGCCATGAGGATGAAGTCTGGGGAGAAGCAGTCAAGGAAAATACCCTCATCAGCCACATTAAAACTGGAATCTTTTCAGGGCAGAGACAGATTATAGGAAAAGTCTGGCTTTCCTCATCACTAGAAAAACTGGTAGCCTGCTAGAGCTTGTTGAACACGAAAATCTATATGAATAATAAGTTAACATTATTGGGCTCATATTTGGTGGTAGACATGCTTTTAGGTGCTTTCATGGATAGTATCACTTAATCCTCACAACAATCCTATTATCATTGTTTTTGTTTCTCATTTTTACATGTTCTATTTGCCCTTAAATACTCTCTTATCCAAATAATTGTCAGTTTGTTTAAAAATAGGGAAACTGAGACCAAATGGGTAAGTAACTTGCCTGAGGTCACACAGGTATTAATTGGCTGAGCTGGGCTCAAACAAGCACTCTAACTCCTGCGCCATGTATTCAATAGCTGTACTCTGTAGCTGCTTACAAAACTGGGAGATTAGGAAAAGGATTACACTTCCAAAGTAATTAGTTTGCCAGAAAAATTAAGCTATTTTAAAAAAAAATCACTGCAAATGGTGAGCCAAGACCGGCCACTGCACTCCAGGCTGGTGGACAGAGCGAGACTCCATCTTAAAAAAAAAAAAAAAAAAAAAAAAAAAAGAAGAAAGCACTGCAAATGACTATGAATTCATAGTTATCGTTATATCTGCAGAAATAATTTTGAACATATCAAATTACTAACTGCCGACATGTAAGTTGTGTTTGGCTCTGCAGTGCTACTAACCGTGTCTGAGTGGCTGGCCTGTCTCTTCTAATTTTCACTATTGTCTTTCAGACAATACTGTATAGACCAGTTTCATTCCTCGTATCACGTCTAAACTTGTATGATAAACAGATGAGGCCAGGTGGGGTAGCTCATGCCTGTAATCCCAGTGCTTTGGAATGCTGAGGTGGGAAGATCACTTGAGCCCAGGAGTTTGAGGCTGCAGTGAGCTACAATTGCACCACTGCTCTCTAGCTAGGGTGACGGCAAGGCCCCATCATTAAAAAAAGAAAAACAAATGAGACTCTTATGCCTGGATATATATATGGAGTGTGTGTATGTGTGTGTGTTGTGTGTATCTGTATCTGTATATACACAACAGAATAAATGGAAGGAGGAGCTGGGAAGAAGGGTAAAAAGTTCATAGCAGCTTTAGTGAAAGGCCAAGTGTCTGAGGAACTAGATGCATTTACTTAGAAAGATCAGAAATGTCTCCTTAGAATTAGTTCTATCTTCTGAAATTAGACCTGAAATCGGGAAATTTTCAGAGAGCAAGAATGTGAAATTACTTCAGCCAAACTTTGCTTTGCTAACTGGGCCTTCATCCATTCACCTGAGAACCAAAGAAAAAAAAAAGATTCCACGTGTTCAGAAAGAGCATGAATCAGAATCATTTGGTGAAAGCTCAAAACTTGGGATAGGCTGGACAAGGTGGCTCATGCCTGTAATCCCAACACTTTGGGAGGCCGAGGAGTGTGTATCACTTGAGCCCAGTAGTTCGAGACCAGCCTGGGCAACATGGCAAAACCACGTCTCTATTAAAACAACAAAAATTAGCCGGGTGTTTTGGTGTGTGCCTGTAATCCCAGCTACTCTCTAGGCTGAGATGGGAGGATGGCTTGAACCCAGGAGGTGGAGGTTGCAGTGAGCCAATATCATGCCCCTGCACTCCAGCCTAGGCAACAGAATGAGACCCTGTCTTAAATCACAAAAAACATCTCGGAGTGATTTAAAGTCTGCACACTCTTTTGAACAAGGATGCAAAATATTGCCAAAGCAATATTAACTTATTACTTAAATTAATGGAGAAAGCATATCTCCTTTTATCTTATATTGGCAGAGTTTTGATCTTTTTGTTCATAAAGTATTTATTAGGTTGCTAGCAAGAACCAAGTTTTTTGGCTTGAACTTAAGTCCTTAAATGTTCTCTATCTAATGTGACTGTAGAACTTTGGAAAATCAGCAAAATGGTGGAACAGGAATTTGTGAATGAAGAAAAAATAAATAGTCCAAATACTCCACTAACTAGAGAATGGGCTCTGAACTGTGTGTGTTTTCATATTTTATTCTTTCCCCCCCTCATCTTAGGGTCTGCTTCTATTCATATTTTAAAGCTACTTTCTCTCTCTTTCTTTGAATTGATATACTTTATTTCTTTCTAGCTATTTTGAACTTTTTATTTATATTTATTTATTTATTTATATTTCAATAGGATTTTGGGGAACAGGTGGTGTTTGGTTGCATGAATAAGTTCTTTAGTGATGATTTCTGGGATTTTGGTGCACCCACCACCCAAGCAGTGTATAGTGCACCCAATTTGTAGTCTTTTATCCCTCATCCCCCTCCCATCCTTTCCCCTGAGTCCCCAAAGTCCACTGTGTCATTCTTATGCCTTTGTGTCCTCACAGCTTAGCTCCCACTTATGAGTGAGAACACAGGATGTTTGGTTTTTCATTCCTGAGTTACTTCACTTAGAATAATGGTCTCCAATTCCAACCAGGTTGCTGCGAATGCCATTGTTTCATTCTAAAGCTACTTTCTCTAAGGTGGGGTCTGAAGTGGTTAAGAGTGAAGAGCTGAGCCTGAGTTTAAATCTCGATCCACCACGCATTATCTGTGTGATCTTGCGCAAATTAAACTTCTCCATGATTCACTGTTCTTACATGTGAAGTGAGGATAAAAAGAGTTGATACATTTAAAGTACTTAGAATAATGCCTAGCACGCTGTCTAAAAATTGGTGATTATTATGACTGAAGATGTGTAATTGCATTTTCTGTACAATCTACCCTTTAGGAACCTTGATTCCTTTCTCTGGTTTTCTGAGGAGGGCCTTACTGGAGTGAACACTTCTTTTATTTTTGCCTTTTATTTTATTTTATTTTTTGAGTCAGGGTCTCACTCTGTCACCCAGGCTGGATTGCAGTGGCATGATCACAACTCACTGCAGCCTCAAATTCCTGGGATCAAGTGATCCTCCCCGCAAGCCTCCCAAGTAGCTTGGACTACAGGTGCACACCACCACACCCTGCTAATTTTTCTAAAACAAATTTTTATAGAGACCAGGTTTTGCTATCTTGCCCAGGCTGGTCTTGAACTCCTGGGCTTAAGCAATCCTCCTGCCTCAGCCTCCCAAAGTGCTAGGATTACAGCATGAGCCACGGCACCAGGCCTTTATTATTTATTTATTTATTGTTAGAGACAGAGTCGATCTTAGCTCGCTGCAGCCTTAAACTCCTGGGCTCAAGCCAGCCCACCTCAGCCTCCCCAGTAGCTGGGATTACAGGTGCTCGCCACAACACCCAGCGGATTTTTAGATTTTTTTTTTTTTTTTTTTTGTAGAGACAGGGTCTCCCTTTGTTGTCCAGGTGGATCTTGAGCTCCTGACTTCAAGTGATCTTCCTGCCTCTGCCTCCCCAAGTGTTGAACACTTCTGATTACTCCACTCCATGGAATGAGTGACTGATCTGATTGGTGGGATGGGAACTGGCAGGCTTCTATTGGGCCACACTACCAGTAGGTGAGGCCACTGCACTCCATCCTAAGCTAGACTCTCTCTGGGATCTGTGTGGGGCTAAGCGGAGTGAGGTGCTCTCCTCTGCCTTTCCCTGGTTTCTCTGCTTGTTACTGGGTGGTTAAGTTGAATTCCAAGGTGTGAGAGAGGAGACCTGCAGCATTTTCCTTTCCAGGTTTACTAGGATAAAGGCTGATTTCTTCATCCCCACCTGGCTCCTAGCATCTATTCTCAATTGGTTCAAACTCTGAGCGGAGGAAGGGAAATGAATAGCACCCCAAAACCTCAAATATTGGAGGAAAACTACACATGCAGCCTTAATCTAGTGCTTGAATTTGTCTTCCAGAAAAGCTTCATTATTTTCCTGAAATATATAAATGTATTGGTCCTCTGAAATTCATTTCAGAGCTAATAAATGAAATGAAATAACAGGGCCATTAATAAAGTCACAAATGCATTTTTTTAAGCTGGAGGAAAAAAATGGCAATTCTCTTTTGGCTGTGCATTCTCTGATTTTCACAAATAAGAACTTTTACATCATTAGTGAAATGAGAATGTATGACACCATTCCTGCAGATTGAAACAATCTGGAGAGGGCAGACCTTGTTTTATTTTTATTTCTCCATCTCCCCTTTGGCATGAAAAATTGGTCTGAGGGTTTTTGTTTTTATACCTGTTTACCTTTGCCTTAAGATTCTGAGAAGATCTGGCAGAATATCCTAACCCACTGGGTTCTTCTACAGAGACAACTTACTTGTTTTCATCTTACTGGCAAAAGAAGCTTTTCACGTTCAAAGGATACAGAGGACCACACAGAGAGTGATAGATGCCGACAGAATAACCCGTGGAATTCCAACTCTCCGTCCTTCATTCTTGATGTTGACCTTGAGTGTCAGCGCAGCCTGGATCCAGCAGGTCAATGTGCCAAATCCAAAGGTCAAGGAAGTTCCGACGTTATGGATTTCTTCATCATTTGTGAGCTTAGGGATGAATGGATAATGACACATGAAGGCCCATTCAGCAAAGAAGACAGGCAAGTTGAAGGAATGAATATATGAGGGGAAAAGATAGGAAAAGAAATATCCCAATAATGGGATGATAGATTGCAGAAAGATTAGCTCTTCGTTCTATTCTCAAATGGTTTGAACTCTGAGGGGATGAAGGAAATAAATAATACCCCCAACCCTTAAAAACATTTGTGTAGAAAAAGTAAAAGAAAACAGAAGGAGAGTTACAGAAAAAGAAATGTTTCTACAAGCATACACCCCAAACTTTTCCAGGATAAGAAAATTAGACCAGGAATTTGGACATGGTTTTTTTTGTTTGTTTGTTTTTGTTTTGGTTTGTTTGTTTGTTTTGAGACAGGGTCTTTACTCTGTCTCCCAGGCTAAAATACAGTGGCGTGATCACGGCTCCCTGGCTCAAAGCGATCCTCCCACCTCAGCCTCTGGAGTAGCTGGGACCACAGGTACATGCCACCATGCCTGGCTAATTTGTTTGTTTTGAAGGAAAATTTGTATTACTTTAATTGTTTTTTAAGTACAGAAAACTCAACAGTGTATATTTAACCCAGCTTGGTGGCAAGTTCTTTAGCCTTTGCCTTTTTGAGCTTAGCAATGTGAGCCACAGACTTGGGACCCAGGACATTGCCTCCCCAGTGATGGCGGATCTCATCGGATCTGTTTTTGTAATTGGTCCTGATAGCTTCCACCCGCTTAGCCAAAGCTCCTTTGTCTTCCAAGTTAACCTGTGTGAAGACAACAGTGGTGCAGGTCTTCCTGTGGACTAGACGTCCCAGTCTTGCCTTCCTCTTGATAATGCAGCAAGAGACCCCCATTTTACGACACAGGGCAGGCAGGAAGACAGCTAGCTCGATGGGATCCACATCGTGTGCAATCACCACCAGCTGAGCCTTTTTGTTTTCCACCAAGGTGGTGACAGTGTTAACTCCTACTCGAAGGGCAGGTGGTCTCTTAGTGGGGACGTCCTCTTTGCAGGCAGCTTTCTTCTCAGCCTGGGCCAACAGCTTCTGCTTCTTCTCTTGCTTTGTCTCTGGTCTGTACCTGTGGGCTAGCTTAAGCAGCTGAGTAGCTGCTTGGCATCCAGGGCCTGGGTGAACTGGTTAATTGCAGAAAGCACTTACAGAGGTTAATTGCAGCCGCTTATAGAGGATGGCTGTCTGCCACTGCAACCTGATATAGCGGGGCAATTTCACAAAGCGAGTGAGGTCACTTTTGGGCTGGATGTCCTGTCCAATGCCAAAATTCTTAGGCCTTTTCTCAAACCAGGGATTCACCACTTTCTTGGCCTCCTGCTTCTTCATGACAGCAGGGGCCGGAGCCACCTTCTTTACTTTGGCCTTCTTTCCTTTCAGCACCTTTGGCAGCAGGAGGAGAGCGCTAATTTTTTATTTTTTTTATTTTTATAGAGATGGTGTCTCCCTATGTTGCCCAGACTGGTCATGAACTTCTGAGCTCAAGTAATCCTCCCGCCTCGGCCTCCCAAAGTGCTGAGATTACAGGCGTGAGCCATCAATCCTGGCCAATATATATTTACTGATGGAGGACAGCCAATTCTAGGCAAGTCAATATTTAATTGGCACAGACAACTAAAACCCTTTAAGCTCTGTTCTTCACGCTTGCAAAACTGGCCCGTCTATGTAATGTGACTAATTCTTGTTTTTTTTTTTGGTTTTTTTTTTTGAGACGGAGTGCTCTGTCGCCCAGGCTGGAGTGCAGTGGCACTCAGTTCACTGCAATCTCTGTTTCCTGGGTTCAAGCGATTCTTCTGCCTCAGCCTCCCAAAGTGCTGGGATTACAGGCGTGAGCCACCATGGTGCCTGGCCTAAATAATTGTTTTTTGTTGTTGTTGTTGTTGTTTGTTTGTTTGAGACAGAGTCTCACTCTGTCACCCAGGCTGGAGTGCAGTAGTGCGATCTCCACTCACTGCAACCTCAGACTCCTGAGTTCAAGCGATTCTCATGTCTCAGCCTCCCAAGTAGCTGGGATTACAGGCATATGCCCCCATGCCCAGCTAATTTTTGTATTTTAGTAGAAACGGGGTTTCACCATGTTGACCAGGCTGATCTCAAACTCCCAACCTCAGATGATCCACCCGCCTCAGCCTCCCAAAGTGCTGGGATTACAGGCATGAGCCAACACACCCGGCCCTAATTCATTGTTAATGAGAATTTTTTTAGTTTTATTTTCCCATAGTAATAAGAAAAACTGTCACCTATGAGCTTTTGCCACATATAGAGACCCATAGTAGGACAACAGTACTTGAAGATTCATACTCAAGGCTTTTATAGAGGACTCCCATTTAGGTTATTGCCATTGGCGGTTATAGATGTAAACTCCCCAAATCATTACCAACTGATGTTTAAAATATATATCCATCACTTAAAACTCTTTTTGTATTTTCATGTGTATATATACATCTATACATATGTAAATATATATATTTTTCAGATTATCACCATTAGATCATAATTTTTTCAGTCAATCATACTTCACCAAGACTATCCACTTCTCCAAAAAAAAAAAAAAAAAACAACAAAGTCTATCCATATCCACATCTTCATCAAACCTAGCGTATATGTTTGTGTATATATATATATATATATATATATATATATATATGTATTTGAGATGGGGTCTTGCTTTGTTGCCCAGGCTAGAGTACGGTGGTATGATAAAAGTTCACTATGTATTTACATATTTTTAAAAAATTTTCTTCCTTTTCCTTTTCTTCAACATATATTTTTTAATTGCACATATAAGAAAGTAAAATCTATTGTTAAAGACATGGCTTTTAAACCCATTGTGAAAGTATTATTTTTTTGAATTGCTATTGCCTTCAGATGTTTTGTTGTTTGACATTGTTGTTCATAAGGGTTGCATCAAATCAATGTTACTTTCCTTTTACAATTTTTTCTATTGTTTTTGGCTGTAGGATTTTTGCCTCTTTTTTGGAAGAAGCCATGTTTTCTCTCACAGTTCAAAAGACATATTTTCAAAATTATTTAAAATAATGATATCTGAAATCAAATTTTGCTTCTAGAAAATTGGTTTTCCATGCTATATAAATCTATTAATTTATTATTAATCTTTAAAAAAGATAATATAGTTACATAGTTAAACTTAAAAAAATTATAATGAGGGATAGATTGAAAAGTCTGTCTGCCGTCCCATATACTAGCCACCTGGTTTCTCCATGGGAAACTAATTTGTCATTTCTCATGTATTCTGTTATATTCCGGCAAACGTTCTTCATAAGTAGTGTCAACATTCATGGTCTTGAGTATGTGTGGTTCACCAAAGCCACCCAATCTTGGGGATTTTTCTAGGACTTTTGTAAAGAACAAAATGTGTTCTTCTTAGTAACTCATCAAAGCCCTGGTCGAGAGAAACAATAGTGACTGAGCACTTTACAACATGCCTGTACCCTCAGCACAGGCCAGCAAGTAAGGGAAAGACTCCCAACAAAATTTCAGTTAAAATGCCCCATGCCTTACATTTTGGATCTTAACAGGATAAACTCTCAAATATTCTCCTGGTAATCACTGCCTCAGCCAATATATTCTAAGAATGCAGCTTTCTGGTTGCCTAGCTGGATATAGATGGGAGATAGAATAGTTAGAGGAATTGGTGGGATTGCCCATTTATAACTCACCAAGCAAAAAATATTTACTGGGTTGCTACTATGTGCCAGGGGAAGTCTTTGGGAATGAGTGATCCTGGTTTAATGAATCAGCAGTGCTGAGGGTAGGACAAGAAATGGCCTTAGAAAATCCACTACTATTTTCATTAGGAACATTACTAAATGAACGATAGAATGCTGAGGTCTTGAATGCCTATGCCATTTGCGATGTCATTCAACAGACAGGGGGAAGAGTGTCAGGATCAGTGTTTGCCCTCAAGGAGGAAGTTTCTAGCTGTAATATAAATAGCATAGGTTGGAGGTTGGTGGGGAGGGAGGGAAATCAGTCAACCACTGTCATAGTACAGAGGTTTCCTTGTCTATTTTACAAATAAAGTCATTCTTGTCAAGAGCTGGGTAATGGTATTGGCAAGGAAAATTATGCTTAAAGGTTGTGACCTTGGGCTTCTGAATTTCTAGGAAGAAGAGTTAGGAGTAGCATATCTTTATACAAGTCATAAGTGTTCTGGAGAAATTCTGGGCTTTCAAACTTGACTTCCACATAAACTTGCTAATCTGAAAAGCATCCTTTTATCCAGTAAGGATGTTTGGTGTTTAGTTATAGAAAGGTAATGATCCTACTGGTTTGCTAGAAAGGTACATTAGGATCCAATTTGTTACGAAAAAAAAGTATAAACCACTTGGAAATCCTCTGTAGAAAATATACAGCTGTTCTAGTAGCTGCTTTTCTCAGTAGCCACACTGTATTTCATAGGCATATGTAACACCCTCGCACATTTAAGAGAACTCAGGAAGACCAGGCTGAGAGACTAGAAAGGCTGAACTCTGGAGAACCTGTGCATGTTAGGAACCAATGTTCCTAATTTTTTTTTTTTTTTTTTTTGTGAGTCTGATCTTATTTGTTACTCAAAAAATCTTTTTCCTGACTAGATTCAGACTTAGAAGCAGAAGCTCGCAGAGAGGAAAGTCTGCGTCTCTTCACAACTTGTTCCTTGCGCTTCTCTTTAGCCTCCTTCATTCTCTTGGCCGAAAGTTTAGCATATTCTGCAGCCTCTTCCCTGTTTTTCTTAGTACACTGCTTCTTCAGAGCAATAGGCTGCTGTTTGTGCTGCAGGACACGTGGAGTAACAAGATGCTGAATCTTGGGTGCTTTGGTCCTAGGTTTCTTACCTTCTTTGTTTAAGGGCTTTCTTACAACATACTGGCAGACATCATCTTCTTTAGAGACACTGAAAAGTTTGACCAGGCGCGGTGGCTCAGGCCTGTAATCCCAGCAACTTGGGAGGCCGAGGCGGGCAGATCGCGAGGTCAGGAGATCAAGACCATCCTGGCTAACAAGGTGAAACTCCGTCTCTACTAAAAATACAAAAATTTAGCTGGGTGTGGTGGCATTCCCCGTGGTCCCAGCTACTCAGGAGGCTGAGGCGGGAGAATTACTTGAACCCGGGAGGCGGAGGTTGCAGTAAGCTGAGATCTCGCCACTGCGCTAAAACCTGGGCGACAGAGCGAGACTCCGTCTCAAAAAAGAAAAGTTTGCGGATTCTGCTAGCTCTTTTAGGCCCCAGGTGACGAGGCACCCTAGTATCAGTCAGTCCAGGTATAGCCTTCTCTCTTTTTTTTCACAATAACAAAGTTGAGAATGCTCAGATTGGCATCCACAGTGCAACCACGAACTAATTTTCTCTTTCTTTCTCCAGCTTTCCTTGGTCTATATATAACAGGAATGTAACAGGCAGGCGGGCATGGCCATGGGTCAAGATACCCTGCTTGTTGTTCCCACCAACAAACAAGAAACCTTGTTTGTTGTTCCCACCACTGATTCGGACCACATAACCCTTCCATTCTTCACCCAGAGCATAAGCAGCAATTTCTGTGGCCATATGCTTCTCATAAAAAGTACGAAGTTTGCGTTCATCTTCCACTTTAATGAGTTTCTGGCAGCCAATGGCTAGGAAGGAGCTGTTCAGCTTCATCTTGAAGCAGCTGAACAGCTCCGAGTTGCCATGGAAAAGAGTCCTAGTTTTTAAAAAAAGGTTTGTGCAGAATTATATGGGCCATATGGTGATTATACCTCAATAGCTTTGATAGTCTCAGAAGTGAAGGTCTTACCAGTGTCAGAGGGAGGTGAAAAAGGCCAAATCAAGTACCTGAAAATTACCAAGTAAGGTCATTCCGAAGGAAGCCAGACACAGAGCCACCAATCCACTAATATTCAGCCACGGGTTTAAAACCTTCGGTTTCAGTTGTATGAAGCGCAGAACAGCTACCACAAGGGCTAGGAATAAAGCAAAGTCTTAAAATGGAAGAAATTAAATCACACACCTAGACTGTGAGGCAGAATTCTATTATTATTATTTTTTTATGCTGCACTATTTTCTTAGGTAAGAGGCAGAATTCTAAAGCCGCAATGTGCAAAATTAAACTTTTCACCACAGCACATTTTACATCTCTGGAATGATCCACAATTTTTCAAAGAAACTTTCCATGCAATGCTTATGATTATTTAGATGTTTTATTATACTCAATCTGGGGAAAGCAGAGAGGCAGAGAGGACTCGAGGCAACAGGGCTGTATGTTACTTGGGTGAGGCAAGGATGATAGGACTATGAATAGTGTTGTTCTCAGAGTTTTCAAAAACAAGGTCAGCACAGGACAGACTGGCTTAGGAGAGCACTGCAGAGGCTTGGCACACAACAAATAAGATGGGATAAAGACAGACCGACTCAGGCATCCTTTAGCTTAGAACAGTGTGGAAAATAATGATAGGGCAGGAACATAATGGGAAGAAGACAAGGTTACCACATCTAGACAAAATTGCTGGTGCCAGCGCCATAAACCATTCCTGGGAAGAAAGATAATGGAAAATGTACAAGTTCCTTTATTACTGGTTTTACTCTCACTTCCCTTCGATTCTACTTGGAGGTGTTCACTGTCAAACAACAAAGATAGTTAATCCAAATTAGAGAAGTGACAATATTCATACTTATGAAATCTGTATTTTAACATAGCAGATTGAGGGATTTGGTATGTACTAAAAATCGTACCTAGTATATCAAGAAAACTCAATTCCTGAAAATAATATTAATTACTCATTTTAAATGTCCACTCTATCTTTTGAAGCAAATTGGTATCTGAGAATTTGAAGAGAGAATGAGGGAAGTTACTTAGATTTCAAATCTGACTTCTAATAGTAACCTTGGGATAGTCCATACTCAAGGCCCTAATCTAAGGATGACCTTTTTTTTGCCTAGTGCAGAGGTATTTTCATATTTATACGAAGAGTTGGGAGAGGTTAGTCTATAAATGATGAAAAATCACTTTCGATTAATGTAAATTATATCTACATGTAAGGAAACAAACTTACTACTAAGATAATTTATTTTGACGTTAAGGTTCAGCAGGAAAGACAATTAGAAATTCAAGAATTACCCTATTTGTACAGCAATTAAGTTGGTAATTATTTGCTAAAGGTTTTACTTTGATTACAGGCCATTATTAGTAGACATTAATAAAGAAAATCTATCCATAAATTTGCATTTCTCGAGTATGTTAAATTTCATAGTGTAACCCTATGGCTTTAAGCTTGATAAGTTGACTTTTAGTTCTAAGTACTTCTGATCAAAGAGTGGTATAAAACTTGATTAATATTTGGATTTTAGAAACAAAATAGAGATAAATCATGATTTATAAAAATCTCAAATTGTTCAGCCCTGATATATCTTTCAGTATATGCTTCAGCTAGTACCGACTATTGATCAGAAAATTAATACATTATACCTGAGTTGACAGTAGTTTCTCAAACTATTGGTTTGAGGGACCTAGGTAGGAGTTATATCCGAAGTCTTTAACAATGACAATAACAATCCTAGAGGATGAAAAATAGGCACAACGTCTTATTAATTTTAGGATAGGAGTAGGAGGAGGAAGTAGGGGAGAGGAGTAATTCAACACACAGCACTCCATCACGAAGTGATCATCAGCTAAAGAAGCCATTAGATTAAGCCTAGAGACTCAACACAGGCACTACAGGATATCCTTCTAATAAGTTGTGTATGGCTGTTAGGACATAATAACAAGATACTAAGACAGCACACTTAATTTTTTTTTTTTTTTAAACAGAGTCTTACTCTGTTGCTCAGGCTGGAGTGCAGTGACATAATCTCAGCTCCCTGAAACCTCCACCTCCTGGGTTCAAGCGGTTCTCCTGCCTCAGCCTCCCAAGTAGCTGGGACTACAGGCCCATGCCACCACACCCAGCTAATTTTTGTATTTTTAGTAGAGACAGGGTTTCACCATATTGGTCAGGCTGGTCTTGAACTCCTGACCTCAGGTGATCTGCCCACCTCAGCCTCCCAAAGTGCTGGGATTATAGGCATGAGCCTATAATATAGACAGAGTCCCTCTCTGTTGCCAGGCTGGAGTGCAGTGGCGCAAACTTGGCTCACTGCGACCTCCGCCTCCTGGGTTTAAGCGATTCTCCTGCCTCAGCCTCCTGAGCAGCTGGGACTACAGGTGCACGCCACCAAGCCAAGCTAATGTTTTTGTATTTTTAGTACAGATGGAGTTTCGCCATGTTGGCCAGGATGGTCTCTATCTACTGACCTTGTGATCTGCCTGCCTTGGCCTCCCAAAGTGCTGGGACTACAGTGAGCCACCGCGCCTGGCTGGCTAATTTTTTTTTAAATGACCACTGAAAAGTATTACTCTGAGAACTCTCTGCTGGTCATTTTGTGGGATAGGATGGTGCTGGAACTTGACCTAAGCCCTAAACCCAGTTCCTGAAATGGCTCTTCATGTTGACCCACCCAGTCAAAGAGTTTGTTCCTTTATGCCCAGGGGAACAGAGTTGTTGGCTGCTCTCTTCATTATCTATTTCTGTCCAGTAAACACAGGACATGCAACATCTTCTGGTCCCTGCGTTGCTAGCTGTCCTATTTGTAATATGAATGGTAAGTCATCTTATCATGAACAAATTATGAAATTCAGCAGGAAACAGAAACCTATTTGAAGACAGGGATTTAACCCAACACTCCTAGCTTCCAGAATTGCATTCTAAACACCACACTTTGCCCTTTTTTACCTCTTAACTCCATTATTAATCAGATCAGGGGAGGCATACTTTCCTTTTAAAATAGATTCTAGCTGAATTTTTAGAATGATGGATCTAATAAAAGATTCTGCCCCTATAACAGTTTTACTAACACTTAGGTATGAATGGAGGCAGATTTGGACTGTTATGAAGTCCATTTTCAACCAAGTAGTGATTTAATTATACCTTCCTGAAAAAGACTTACGGGCCATTTCAAAGCCATCTTTATATATGCTAACTTTTACCACATTCACGTTCTGATCAATAGATATATTTTTTTGTTTCATTAAAATTTTTAGATTTCACTAACAGTTTCAGAAAAGATTTTAAAAACTCATCCTTCTGTGGTTTTGGTATTTGAAACAGTCCTTTGCCATACAGGTGTCCCCTACTTAATTTTCCTGTCTATTTTCAAAAGAGCACAAATAGAGGCCGGGCGCGGTGGCTCATGCCTATAATCCCAGCACTTTGGGAGGCCGAGGCTGGTGGATCACCTGAGGTCAAGAGTTCGTGACCAGCCTGACCAACATGGAGAAACCCCATCTCTACTAGAAATACAAAAAATTAGCCAGGCGTGGTGGCACATGCCTGTAATCCCAGCTGCTCGGGAGGCTGAGGCAGGAGAATCGCTTGAACCTGGGAAGCGGAAGTTGTGGTGGGCCAAGATTGTGCCATTGCACTCCAGCCTGGGTGACAGAGACTCCGTCTCCAAAAAAAAAAAAAAAAAAAAAAAAAGCACAAATAGAATAATGGCTGATTTTTCTAATTACATTTTAAATTCTGAGTCTGACTGGGTTTTTAAAGTTCGAAACTCAAATAACGTCCCTTCCTTGCAGTTCTAAACTGGTACCTGGCCAAATTTTTGTTTTGTTTTGTTTGACTCTTTATGCATCAATGATTCCTATTTATGACTGCGGTAGAACACAACTGTCAATATGTTTTGCCTGAAGGAGGGAGAGTGGCTGCTATTCGGTGACTGACATCATTCAGCTATTAGCTTTATCCTCACAACCTCCCCAGGGCAGAAAATTATATTCCTTTGAAGAAATTTGTCTTAGGTCTTTTTCTCTCCTACCCCGTGGAAAGAAATGCAGTTTCAAGACAAAAAGCACAACTAATTCTCTAAAGAAAATAATTGAGCATTCAATCTTTGATTAGTCTGTCAAAAAAGATAAAATATCTTTGCTAATTTTAATACATGCTACACTGACTCATTTTTAGATTGTAAAGTATAATCTATAAGGCTGCTGAAAAGCAGTGACTAATAGGCGGTGTGGGTTATTTCTTAAAGTCAGTTATGTAGACTAAAATAATAGTCTGAAGTCTAACAAGGGCAGGCCTGGGGAGATGAAGGTATCCACAGTTTAGAGGAGGAATCATTAGTAAACTGATTCTTTTTCACTCTCAGAGTTGATAAATAAATACTTGTTGGTTTGCTCCCATTGAACAATAATCTTAATCAATTTTATGTCTACCAGATGGCACTCAAAATGATGAAAGATAATACAGAATAAACACTGGATGTTGTAATACCTTCGAGCAAGAGCTAGCAAAAGCTTAATTGCTTCTTGGTGGAGCAGGAAGGACTGGAGAATAAGATGATGACAAATATCATCTGGAAGAGGGGATCTTGCTTTCATTGCTTTGCTTTTGGAAATGCTTTTGTAATTAGTCAATCATAAGCCTTATAACTGGATAAACTTGTGAGCTATACAAACTGGGTTTTAAAAAAGTATACACTTAAAGACCACTGGGAAATATCAATTTGTCTTAAGCATACAAAGGAAACAATATGTGGCTTCCAATGTGCTCACTGGTTTGTTTAAAGCCCAGTGGAGGACAGACAGCTGGTGACAGCTTTTTTATATTTCAGGCTTGAGTATCACGCTTAAATGAGGTAGTATTTGCAAAGCACTTAGCATTGTTCCTGGAATAGAAATGATGGCTATTAATCGTTGTTGCCCCCTGTGGGAAGAGCATACGAATAGATGGCAGCCTGCAGGCCTACGTGCTATAATGGCAGAGGGGCCAGGAAAGGTCCCTGACCCTACCATTCAAGGTTCACTCTTGGGGCTTTGTGCTCTGTTAAATGCAAATGCAAATGCAAATGCAAATGTTCCTTAGCAGCTATTTATGTCTTGGGATGAATAAGTTTATTAGGTCTTTTCAGAAGAATGGTGTCAAGAGTAGAAAAAAGGAGCACGTATAAAGCTCCTGGCAGCTCTGAGGCTGAAAGCAGTGACAACCAAACCTGACTGCCCAGGACTGGCCCTGGTGCCCACAGGTGCACCAGATACTGCAGGTGCCATCCTTCTTGATACTTGTGAATATCTAGGATGTGGAAGTCCTGACTGCCAGGGGCATAAAGAGGAGAGCTTTTTTAAAGACTCGGCAACCCCAGCATCAGGGTATATTTAACTTTCTCCTTAGTGGTAGTGTAGCAGCCCAGGCTTTCCGGACACCTCCTGCTTTGGCAAATGGGATACGCTTTGGGGATGGCTGGGGAGAGCTTTGATGGAAAGGTGGTTAGCTCCAGGGAAGAATCTTGCTAACTGCACAGAAGCTCCCCAGCGTACTTCTTTTTGAAGCTTCAGGTTCAAGAGAGGCCTGATGAGCCTGACGGGAAACATTCTCCATGTTTCTCATGTTCTGGGCTTTCTGAACCAGCTAAGTTTCTGCCTGTGTTGCATGTTGGACCACCTGTCTCCCTTGATTTTCCACTGACTTCTAAAGGTCTTCCCATTCTTATAGCAAATATTAAAAAAGAATACATTAAGAGCGAGTAGGAATTTTGAGGGGTGGAGGTGAAATAACAGGTTACTTCTTTGGGAGACACGTCCCACAAAGGTTGAATATTCCCTCAGTAATAATACTACCTCTTACTTGGAGTGAAAGTCTCACCATCAAAAGAACCACTTCCAGAACACCATTGTGGGAAGGATGGGCTGTCTTTGGTCCATCCTAACATCATCCTGACAGTGATAGCCAGTTGACTCTTGGAGAGACACTGGGAAAGCCTGGCACTGAGGAGATGGTATACAAGGTAGATTAGAAAAAGGATAGAGTGCATGGCTGGTTCCCACCATCTCTGGAGGACTATGCAGGGTCATGGACGCACTCACAGAGGGACAGAATATTACAGGAGGGTCTTGGGCCCCAAAGAAAAAGGAACTGGGGCTAGATATGAGTACTAAAGGTTTCTTCTTTTTAAGCTTACTTCTCCATTTGCCAGCTTACTATGTCTATAGGCACAGGAGAGAGTGTAATCCTAATGCTGATGTTGACCTTTAGGTTTAAAGACAGTATCTACACACATCAACAAATATCACAAAGCCCATGCATTTTTTTCATCTTTGCTAGTGAAGGAATAAATAAAGCATTCTTTTCAAAGCAAATGTATTATACAATATTACATTCTCATACAGGATTTTATATCATGAAATATATTATTTTATGCAGCAAAATAGATCAAGTCAAGAGTATCTGAAATGATAAAGATGGTAAAGGGAAGAGAAAATGTAAGGACAGCAGGGTGAACGTAAATGGATGTACGAGAGAAAAAGACCTTTAAGACAAAGAGCTGGCTTCAGCATATTGACATCGTATGATACTAAATGATCAAATAAGCCCCCCATTGTTTTGACAAGGGTTTGGGAGAATTTAAAATACAAAAGAAATGTACCAAAGCACATAAAGCGTTCTTTACCCTCTTCTTACCTAGGAAGGCTGCCATGTTCATAACTTGACTAAACACACAGCTTGCAGGAGGATCATCACCTGCAATGCTTGAAAAAGATGAAATGTTTTATAGTTACTATATCAAAATCTATAATCCTCCTAACTTTTCCTACGGTCCCACAGGACAGAAGAGAATTGCTGGGTTACCTTATATATGGTGCATGCTTCACACCAGGTTTCCTGGATAATAAAAAAAAAAAACACAGAAGCTCAGGTTAAAGCACTGTCATTTGTGCAGTTTAACCTTCCCAGTGGGAAAGTTTTTGCTAAATCTCTTGATGAACAACGAATTACCCACAGATAAACTTTACCTTTCAGCTGAATTTAATGGTAAAATTTTGTCATCTTCCACAGCTATGAAGTATCTATCAAAAAAGAATAAGTTTATAGAACAAAGAAATTGGAAAAAAGAATCATTTGTTTCCCAGTTTTATTAAACTAACTGCACTAATTCATATTCATTTTTTCTAACTGAGAAATGCTCTTTTACAATTCTTTACCCATAGATCATCTAGTTCTTTGAAGCTCAAATGTCATTATTAGTAATATTTCCTTAATTTTCAAAACATCCCCAAAGTAATGGCCATGCTTATAAACTGGAAACTAGAAAACAAGGAAATAGAACTTACAACTTTGAGCAAACTAAAATTAGGGTTCAGTTTCTAACTTCTCGGGAATATGTGTCCTACCTTTCCTAACAAACTTTGAGAAACTAAAATAATTTTCTTAAAGTGAATATTACCTAAAATAAGCAAGTGTGGGAACGTTCTGTGGTAAGCCAGGACTTCCAATGTAATGATATTCATTTTATAAACATATCAGGCCGGGCGCAGTGGCTCACGCCTGTAATCCCAGCACTTTGGGAGGCCGAGGCGGGCAGATCACGAGGTCAGGAGATCGAGACCATCCTGGCTAACATGGTGAAACCCCGACTCTACTAAAAATACAAAAAATTAACTGGGTGTGGTGGTGGGCGCCTGTAGTCCCATCTACTTGGGAGGCTGAGGCGGGAGAATGGCGTGAACCCAGGAGGCAGAGCTTGCAGTGAGCCAAGATCATGCCACTGCACTTCAGCCTGGCAACAGAGCAAGACTCCGTCTCAAAAAAAAAACAAAAACAAAAAACAAAAAACAAAAACATATCAGACCCAATCATGAATAACTGGACTATGAACTGGACTGCAGACGGAACCCATGGCATGTTAGTGTCAAATTCGAAAATCTTGCAAATAATTAATTCATATAACCTGTTTACAAAATGTTCATTACAACAAGAACACATGAACACAAAATAAACTAGTATTCTTCACCACCGGCTTTGCATAATTATTACTCACTCTTGTTACTTACTTTGGTTAATAGAAAATGGGAAAAGAAATGAGGACTTTAGCAAGGTTGAATTAGTAAAATATATTATTTTCAAGTATTTATAAATACAGTCATAAAGATATGCCATCTACTATTTTTTGGGGGGGTGGGGACAGTCTTGCTCTCTTGCCCAGTCTGGAGTGCAGTGGCGCAATCTCAGCTCAATGCAACCTCTGCCTCCAGGGTTCAAGCGATTCTTGTGCCTCAGCCCCCCGAGTAGCTGGGATTACAGGCGTGTGCCATCACACCCGGCTAACTTCTGTATTTTTAGTAGAGACAGGGTTTCCCCATGTTGGCAAGGGTCTCAAACTCCTGACCTCAAGTGATCTGCCTGACTCGGCCTCCCAAAGTGCTGAGATTACAGGCATGAGCCACCGTGCCCGGCTGCCATATACTATTAAGGTTTACATTTGTATCTACATTGCACCTGAATCCTTAAATAATTAAATGAGCAAATACTCACACTATCCACAATCCAGCTGAAGTAAACAAAGTAAATACAAGAGGTAGGAACATCCATACGCTGCATTTCTTCCCATCCATGCCTGTACCACTGAAATAAAATAAACACGTATTAATAATTAAGGCAAAACATTTACTTCACTCTTTCAAGATAGAAAGTTTAGTCTAACTGGGCCAAGCACGGTGGCTTACACCTGTAATCCCAGCACTTTGGGAGGCCGAGGTGGGCGGATCACGAGGTCAGGAGATCGAGACCATCCTGGCTAACACAGTGAAACCCCGTCTCTACTGAAAGTACAAAACAATAGCCGGGCGTGGTGGCGGGCGCCTGTAGTCCCAGCTACTTGGGAGGCTGAGGCAGGAGAATGGCGTGAACCTAGGAGGCGGAGCTTGCAGTGAGCCGAGATCGCGCCACTGTACTCCAGCCTGGGCGTCAGAGCGAGACTGTCTCAAAACAAACAAAAAAGAAAGTTTAGTCTAACTGAAAAAAAAAGTGTATTTTATGAAACCATGATTCAAATTGGTATCATTATTCTCACCTACTCATGTGGGAAATCCCTGAAACAGTTAACATGGATGATTGTTATCTAGCTTAAATGTTCCAGAGTTTTAGTTAAGAATTAATAGAAATTTTATTTTTAAATTTTTTTTGTAGAGATGGGGTCTAGCTATGTTGCCCAAGCTGGTCTTGAACTCCTGGCCCAAAGTGATCCTCCTACCTTGACCTTCCAAAGTGTTGAGATTACAGGCATGAGCCACAGTGCCCGGCCAGAAAATTTTTCATAAAAACATTTATCCTTGTATAAGTATTGATACATTTAAGAAAAGACAAAAGAGTTTGGGTTAGGTTAGGACTTTCGCTAGAAGAGCTAAGTACCAAAGGTATACTTCAACCTACTTTTAGTACTAATATGAACATTTATGTATGTATGGAGCTGATCTGTACATAAATCTATAGGTTGGCAGACAAAGGTGTTAAAAACAAATGGTTACTAAATAAATTAGCAATTATCAGGAGGAAATGACAAATGCTTTGCAAATCTGAACTTTTCTCATGACATGTTATTGAGCAGCAATCGCAGGAGACTAAAGATGAATGTTCTGTAAAACAATGCATTGTGTATAACTTTAAATTAGTGCTAATAAATAGACTGAAAAAAATACATATGTCTGGCGTTTTGGAGGTTACAAAAATATAGAAATAAAAAATCCCCCCTCACACAAATGAAGTGAAAACTAGAAGCTCCAGAAGTATCTATGAAAAATTATCAGTATTAAACATAAAGAAATAACTATCACTTTATGCCTTAACTGCCAGACAAAATCTATCGGAGACACTGGATGCCAACATAATCCTTATGGCAAAAACACCTGTTCTAAGGAAATTAAGTGCTCTAGTAACCTCCACTGGGGACCTGACAATCAGAAGAACAATGTGATTAAATGGCATCTCTAGGGAGATATCAATGCTCTTTATTTTGAGTTTTACAATTAAAACAAGTTGTTGTTTTTTTTTTACAATTTTTTACAATTAAAGAAAGTTTGTTTACTGGTTTGAACCAGCACTGCCCCATTTGTGAATACCTCCAAGACATCTGCTTTCATATGCTGGGACTCTCTAGACCTTCCAAGTGTTGAGACAAGAGAGGAAACATGATGCTCCTCGCTTCAGGCTGGCGAACCAATCCCATCTGCAACATCTCAGGAGGTCTTAGTTCCCAGAACTGGTCTACCTGATTACGTAGATCTTTCAGACTAAGAGATAGACACTGGGCCTAATAAAGTGTCTTTCAACAGTTGTGCCTTTGTCTAAACACATATCTGGGCAGTGGTGTTAAATAAATTACAGAATCTAGTTTACAGATCTAAATTACAGAATAGAGTTGAAAGATATTAGAGCCACTTTCAATAATTTAATTTGCAACTAATCTAATCCAATACAATCCAACTCAAAATTATGGACACCCTACCTGTGCCAGGTACTATATCAGGTGGCGGAAATACTGAGGCAAGGTCTAATGAATACGACTATTTATACGTAACATTCTACGCAATATATAAAAGCTATTGTATGAACTAGTGGTTCATGGCTTTCTAGTTTATATAATACGGAAGAACAGTGAACATTTTAAGCATACACAGTATTGCTAGTGAGTCTCTATTCATTTATTTATGTCCAAAAAGTTGTGGGCTCATAATAAAGCTATCCATTATGCCAACAAAAATAATTCCATAAGTAGCCAAATGTAGAGGGAGCACAGAAAATAGGAGTGATGATTGAGTAAGTAAACCAATTATTCTAGGTCTGCCAATGAAACAGGGTCCTCAAATAGGATGAGTACAGCCAAGATGCTTAGGAGATCTGGTTCCCAACCTCGGCTTTCCCAATAACTGACTAATAGGGTCTGGGTCGTTACTTAAATCTGTGACACCATTTTCTTATGGTGTTACAGAATCTAGGAGCTGAAACCTAGATTGTGAGATTCAACTAAATGAACACTATTGAATGCAAAGAAAGGGAGAAGGATGTCAAGGACAGAGTGGCAGTACCTTGGAGGTTAAGCCAAGTCTGGTATTTTATACCTTTGCAAAAACAGAATGATCCAAAGTACTCAGAATTATCAGCCCCAGAGAAAATGTTAACTATTGTTACAACAGATTGATGAATAAATCAGAATGACAACTTGTTAATGTACAATGGGAGGCACAATTGTCAAATGGACAAATACTCATGCTGGCTCCCCTTTTAGGAATGTCTATATGGGAATCGAAATTTTCAAGCAGGGAGGTAGAGTGAAGAGGGTTAACAAGATAATTCTAAGACTATGGCATCAAGCTACAATAGCTTTATATACTAATTTCCTGGCTCAAGGTACTGGGATGTCCCATTTAGCCACTGATTCTCATTTACCTGCGCTTGTCAGCTTATATTGTGACTAAAGAATTCGCAATAGAGAAACGACTCTGATGTGCTCGCTGCTCCAGGTACTGGGAAAGGATTCCAGGAGGTTCCTGGAGATGAATGTTTAATTTGGTTTAGTTTCACAGGACTCTCTGAGCTGCCTTGGCTTGACAAGTTCAGATACCTGACTGAAAGTACCTTTTTGCAAAGGATAAACAATATATTAAATTAACTCTCTCTCTCTCTCTCTTTTTTTTTTTTTTTTTTTTTTTTTTTTTTTTTTTTTTTGAGACACGATCTCGCTTTGTCACCCAGGCTGGATGGGGTGCAGTGATTATGGCTCACTGCTGCCTCAACCTCCTGGGCTCAAGCGATCCTCCCACCTCAGCCCCCAAGTAGCTGGGACTACAGCTGCACACCACCACACCTGGCTAATTTTTTGTATTTTTTGTAGAGACAAGGTTTCACTACGTTGCCCAAGCTAGTCTAGAACTCCTGAGCTCAAATGATCCACCCACGTGAGCCACTGCCATGGGCAAATTAACTTTGTTAACTTTGCCTTACTGCTGCCTGAGAATTAAAGTTAAAAGTAGGAGATGGATCTTTTTCTTGCATCCTTCCAGACACCATGAAAATAAACTGGCCCATTGCTTCTAGTCACATTAGAAAGTGTCACCCAAACTTTACTTATATTTCCTAGCAAGAATAAGTTCCACTCTTTCCCTGAGCTAAATCACAAGTTTCCTCCCAGCTAGAAGAGTACATTTCCCTCTTTAAGGAAAGAGGGGGAGAAGAATGGAATATTCCATACTCCTAAAATAGTTTTGTCTTTGCATTTTTTCTTTAAAGAGATGGCATCTCACTATGTTGTCCAGGCTGAACTCAAACTCTTGGGCTCAAGAGATCCTCCCACTTCAACCTCCCTAGTAGCTGGGACTATAGGCATGCACCGCCACACCTGGCTTGTTGTATCTTTACATTCTGAATTGTGCTTTTTTTTTTTTTGAGATGGGGTCTCACTCTGTCGCCCAGGCTGGAATGTAGGGGTGCAATCTCTGCTCACTGCAACCTCTGCCTCCTGGGTTCAAGTGGTTCTCCCACCTCAGCCTCCTGAGTAGCTGGGATTACAGGCACCTGCCACCACACCCGGCTAATTTTTATATTTTTAGTAGACATAGGGTTTCACCATGTTGGCCAGGCTAGTCTCGAATTCCTGACCTCAGGTGATCAACCTGCCTTGGCCTCCCAAAGTGCTGGGATTATAGGTGTGAGCCACTGCACCTGGCCCGTACTTCTTTTTTATTCTACATAATATTTACTCTGTTGATATTAATCTTCCAATAATACTTCACAGTAAAAAAATTAAAGATAATTCTTCCCATGTCCTAAATGGTTAATTATATCTAGGACAACGTCACCTCATGAGCTTCTAACAAATGGAGGAAAAAAGCCAGAACTGCATAAACCTTCTTGAAAGGGTTCTGGCATTTAGATTTGCTTTGGAAGACTCTCCTCCAAATGGTATCATTTATCCAAATGATTTGCAAAGCTGTTATCCAGATGGTCAACTCTTCCTAAAGAGCCAATACTGCAAACTCTCTGTATATTTCTGTCGCATGTTCTTTTCTTCCAATAAATGTCATTCCCTAAGTCTGAGTTATCTTCACTTTCTTTTACTCAATCTGTGGTGTGAGTGAGACTGCACAGTGGGGCTCTTCAACACTTTGAGTCAGATGATGAAAATCCCCACCTTCTACCGCTCGCTTTGTGACCTGGCATCCCTGCAGTTCTCTTTGTTCCTCTCAGAGAAAATGACCTGTAGCATGAGGTCTGCAGAGGCTCCCACTATTGACATTTTTGTTGCTCTGGAAGTCTTCAAGCTGCAGATAGCCAAGAGAACACCTGGCCACTTGAAAATGTACGATTTTGTGGAAGTGAACAGAGTGTTACTATAAGCCCATATTAATTTATTATTTAAGACTCTTAACTCCTTTAGTTGGTTTGAAAAGGGGGTCTTTATAAAGTCAAAATTCACGGCCGGGTGGGGTGGCTCAAGCCTGAAATCCCAGCACTTTGGGAGGCTGAGGTGGGCGGATCATCTGAGGTCAGGAGTTCGAGACCAACCTGGCCAACATGGTGAAACCCATCTCTAGTAAAAATACAAAAATTAGCAGGGTGTGGTGGCACGCACCTGTAGTCCCAGCTATGCAGGAGGCTAAGGCAGGAGAATCGCTTGAGCCCAGGAGGCGGAGGTTGCAGTGAGCCGAGATCGCTCCACTTCACTCCAGCCTGGGTGACAGAGTGAGACTCTTTCTCAAAAAATAAACAAACAAACAAATAAATAAATAAATAAAGTCAAACTCACATGATTATTCATACTTCTGTCATCAAATTCAAAACAGATAGTTTGTACAGTGTTAGCTACTGAAGCTACAGAGTGAAAGAACATAGCATACCATTACCCATGCTAATCCTTGAGGACAAACTTTCTATTTTATCAAGCAGCAAATGGAAATGGAAGCTACAAATGGAAAAGTAAAGCCCAATCTTCATTTACAGCTTTAAAAACTTTATTAGGGCCGTGAGGTCAGGAGATCGAGACCATCCTGGCTAACACGGTGAAACCCCATCTCTACTAAAAATAAAAAAAATTAGCCGGGCATGGTGGCACGCGCCTGTAGTCCCAGCTACTTGGGAGGCTGAGGCAGGAGAATCGCTTGAACCCGGGAGGCGGAGGTTGCAGTGAGCCGTGATCGCACCACTGCACTTCAGTCTAGGCGACAGAGCAAGACTCTATCTCAAAAACAAAAACAAAAAAAAAACTTGATTAGTGAGAACCACTTACAACAATGACTGTGAAGTGTCATTGTAGTTAATATTTCCAAGGGTTGGAAGGGACTTGCTTATTATAAATAGAAGGACTTTGTCCTCCCTGGGGCAATGGAGAGAGGTAGCTATAGTTCACAGACTCTGGAGCCAGGCTACCAGGGCTTGGAATCCAGCTCTGCCTCTTATTAGTTGTGTGTCCTTGGTTAAGTCTTCTCTGTGCCTCAGTTTCTTCATCAGCAAAGTGGAAATAATAATGGTATCTACCTTACAGGGTTTTACTGAGGATTGAAAATATGTTTAAAGCACACAGAACAGTGGCTGGCATACAGTAGGCATTTCAATAAATGTTAACTGTATTATGCTGAAAGTGCTGTTGGGGGTCTTTGGTTATCTTTTTTTGTCTTGTAATTTATCAGGAAATGAGCTTCCTGCTACAATAGTTTTTCATTCTGCTCTCAGGGCCAACTGGAATGAAGCAGAAATGATGAACGAGTCGCCCACTCATGACCACGACTGTCACAGTGCCCATGAACCAAGAGCATCCTTGGTTTGTTTTTTAACCACCTGTGAATCTTATTTTTCTTTTGTGTCATGGGCAAGTGTGAAGGGCTTTTATTATCTTATCATTCATTTGTAATTATAAGGGGTAATGATGAGGACTGTTTATTTTGTTTTTCCCCTAAAATGTTTGCAGGCTCTCGGATATAAATCAGCCTGGGGAGATATGAAACACAACCAACAAATGTCACACTTGTTCTGCTAACAAAGAAAATTTTGTTTTCACTGAATCCTAAGTTTGGGAAGGCATAATAGTCAGGTGACCTGGTGTCACTTTAAGAGTATATGACTTCCCTCCATCCGCAGATATAAACAATATTATTCAATTAATGAGGCCAATCCCCCTGTTCCTACAACATTTTTCATAAGTGCTGGCAAGAAACAATATGTAGTAAAAGATTTCTATTAAACATTACCATTCCCAAAAGAATATGATGATTCCTAAGAACCAATGGCAACTAGTTTTTCTCCAATGCTGTCTTGATTTCTAAAGGCAATCACCTTCATTCAACTGATAGATGACTATAGGACTATAGGGATCCTTTCATGCCAGTGACCTAAGGATTCTTTTTCTCAGAAATCAATGGAGCACATTGTCCCAACACTATTTTTTTTTTTTTTTTTTTTGAGATAGGGTTTCACTCTGTCACTCAGGCTGGAGTGCAGTGGCATGATCATGGCTCACTGCAGACTCAATCTCCCCAGGTTCAGGTGATCCTCCCACTTCAGCTTTCTAAGTAGCTGGGACTACAGGCGTGTGCCACTATGCCCAGCTAATTTTTGTAGAGACAGGGTCTCATCATATTGCCCAGGCTGGTCCTGAATTTCTGGGCTCAAGCGATCCACCTGCCTCGGACTCTCAAAGTGTTAGGATTATAGGCGTGAGCCACTGCGCCTGGCCTGTCCCTACACTATTGACAGAATAATCCCAGAAGGAATTCCCTTCTACCAGCACTTCAATTCAATAATACTGTCTTAGAGTTTCTATGCCAAGATCCTCTTCAGAGTCCGTTTATATCTTTAATAATAATAAAAATATTGCCCACATGTGGCAGATGTAACTGCCAACCCAACAGTCATTTCTCCTCTTTTTCTTAGCTAATAGAAGTCTAATTTTATTAGGGACAGCAATGTGCTCAGCCCAAGGCTATAGGTCATGAGTTGTTAAGCCAATCATAGTGATCTCATTTTCCTTTAACAAGTACCTTTCTAGACTCCTTTGAACCTGGCCCATGAGATGCAAGGGGAAGTCTACTGAGCAGCAAATGGGAAGAATTTGCATCCTTGATAGTGGATTGTTTCTTTTCTGCCCACCCTACTTCTCTCCCACTTGGGATGCTATAGTGAAAATATGGTACCTAGTGCTATGGCAGCCATAATGTAACCACGAGACAAAAAAACATGAGGACCCAAAGTCAACATACTGAGAATGGCAGATTAGACGGTGGGAAGAACTGAATCCTTGATAACATCATTAAGACACTACCAAATGCTCAATATCACCTACCTCCAAACTTGTAATGTGAATAAATTAAAAGTCATTATTGCTTTATTACTGTAGGGTGGTAGAGCACCAAAATCCACTCTGTCTCCTTCCATTATAATTCGGTAAGCGGCTGCTCGCCTACCTTATACTTCGCAGCCTCCTTTGTAATAAGTGTGGCCCTGTGAGTAAGTTCTCTCCAATGGAAAATGAATGAAGGCTCATATGATAACACGATTTCATTATACAGGAAAATGTCCATTTTCTAGAGGAGTATACTATTTAGCAGCCAATTGTCACATGTCTAAAATTCACTTAAAATTTTCATCAATGGGGTGATGAAAAAGTTTCAGAGACAGAGTGGTGATGGTCATACAACAATGTGAATATAATTAATGCCACTGAATTATACACTTAGCAATGGTCACAATGGCAGTTTTTGTTATATATATTTCACCAAAATTTTTAGAAGTTTAAAAAGCCACTTCAAAAAAGATGAAGTACCACCTCACCCATTAGGATAGCTATTATCAAAAAACAAAAAGTGGCCTCTGGGCAGGGCATCTCTGAAAGAAAGGCAGCAGCCCCAGTCAGGGGCTTATGGATAAAACTTCCATCTCCCTGGGAAGGGCAACTTGGGGAAGGGGCAGCTGTGGGTGCAGCTTCAGCAGACTTAAATGTTCCTGCCTGCCGGCTTTGAAGAGAGCGGCAGATCTCCTAGCACAGCGCTCAAGCTCTGCTAAGGGACAGACTGCTTCCTTAAGTGGGTCCTTGACCCCCGTGCCTCCTGATGGGAAGACACTTCCCAGCAGGGGTCGAGAGACACTTCATACAGGAGAGCTCTGGCTGGCATCTGGCAGGTGCCCCTCTGGGAAAAAGCTTCCAGAGGAAGGAACAAACAGCAATCTTTGCTGGTCTTCAGCCTCCACTGGTGATACCCAGGCAAACAGGGTCTGAAGTGAACCTCCAGCAAACTCCAGCAGACCTGCAGCAGAGGGGCCTGACTGTTAGAAGGAAAACTAACAAACAAAAAGGAATAGCGGGAATGAGGAGGTATTGTTTAATGGGTATGGAGTTTCAGTTTTGCCAATGAACTGCACACTTAAAAAATCATAAATTTAATGTCATGATATTTTACCACAATTAAAAAAAAAAAGACAGTCATAAGGAAAATGTGTGACTAAAATCTGGTGTGTGCCAACAAAGTCTGTTGACCTTAAAAAAAAAACCTGTCACCTGACCTAACTTGAAAAGCAGACTACATTTCTATTGAGCCTCTACCCGGACTGATTTGCAAAGAGAGATACAAAAGAAGAGGAAGAGTTTAGAAATTTGGTGTCTTGAAGGGTTGGAAAAGCCAGTGACTTCTAAACCTCAAACAGCAAGAGACTGGAGATGAAAATAAGGGTTTTGCCTTCCCTCCCAACTCTACTGTCTCAGAGGGCTCCGTATAGCTGCCACTACATTGAGAGAGGAAAACATGGAGGGCAAGGAAGCAAAGAAATAAAGTAGGCAGATAGCCCAAGTCTTGGAAAGAAGGTTGGGAGAGAAGGCTGGCATGTGAACTGGCTGGAAGTTCTGAGTACCTGAACTGCATTAGCAAAGGGACCATAGCCAAGCCAGTAATATGACTGTTGCACTCTCAAACTTCCAAATTTGCACCAGCAGGCAGTGGGCTGCAAAAGCTGAACAGCCACCAAGGCGGGGGATAACCCCAGCACCCACTTCAGATTTGGCGAAGGAGGAAACTGAACACAGAGAAGCCCCTTCCCCAAGGGCAAGACCAAGGGACACCAAGAGCATGAGCAAGGGCTCTCCTGAAGAGCAGAACCAGAGTCTAGTCAGGCAAGCTCCTCTTCTGCCGGGGCAAGGGGCCTTCCCATTGCCTGCTGCAGGATCCCAGCCTTGCTGTGGACCAGGGGCTGCTGTGTGCATTTCCTCCTCCTCTTTTTCCAATAGGAGTTTTAATTGTGTTTTTCTGCTCCCTGTTCTACCGTGGTATATTGAATGTGAGTATGAGTGCAGAAGTCGGGAGATAACTTGCCTTTTAGCTCACAGGTTGCAAGACCATCAGGAACCATGTTGGAACGTAATGGAAATAATTCATACGTTACCCAGCGACCATGGATTTTCAGGCAGTGCATTTACTGGATGGGGCTTTGGTTTGTCTCCCTTGGGATGAAGCAAGTGTGTTCTATGTGTAGAAATTGGGGCATTCACTGATTCTTGGTGGTCAGAGGCACTGACTCCAGCAAAGACAGCCAGCTGACTATGAACATCCATTCTTCTCTTCTTCCACTGTGTCAGAGGAATAGCTAGGCACATGGCTGCCCAGCTACATGACTCTCCCCATCTTCCTCTGCACTGTGAAGTAGCCACATGAATTAATTCTTGCCAATGGAATGTAAGCCTGCCTGGCACATACTCATTTCCTATGAACCGGGACACGATGACCGGAAGACAGGAGCTATGCTGCAGATGGCCTGGTTATCATGAGCCCCTTCGCCCCTCACTGATATGAAATAGCCACCATGGACTGTTATGTGAAAAAAAAATTCATTTTTAAGCCACATTATTGTTGCCTTATTGTTGTTATAGCAGCTGAACCTTTCACTCTAGCTAATACATTCAGATACTCTGTTAATTGAAGCCCAAACACCTCACCTGATGTTTCACCCTATTCTCTATAAAAATGACAAAATCACTCTGTCCATTAGCTACTAGAGAGGTACATTGATTCTGAGGTGACACTAACTTAACAGAACGATTCTGAGGTGACACTAACTTAACAGAACCTTACTCTGGTGAATCCACTGATACCCAAGAGTTCCAAGTGACTAGGTGGTTCCCCTCAGCACAGGGAGGAATTAAGGCCAGGGAATGGGTTCCTCACTTAGCAGTGGCCCACCTTTGACATATACAATTTTTAGAAAGGTTTTATAAATATGCGCACATAAGTTTTCCTTAAAGATTTCACTGTATTTTATTCAGCACAGCACCCTGAGAAGTATAGGAATGGCTGGGTAACATGACTAATTTCATTTTATAGATGACAGTGAGGTGATTACTCCCAATATGACTGACTCAGCAGTTCTAAAGAAATCTCTTGGCCGGGCGCGGTGGCTCACGCTTGTAATCCCAGCACTTTGGGAGGCCGAGGTGGGCAGATTACGAGGTCAGGAGATGGAGACCAGCCTGGCTAACATGGTGAAACCCCGTCTCTACTAAAAATAAAAAAATTAGCCGGGCATGGTGGCACGCGCCTATAATCCCAGCTACTTGGGAGGCTGAGGCAGGAGAATCGCTTGAACCCAGGAGGCAGAGGTTGCAGCGAGCTGAGATCGTGCCACTGCATTTCTGCCTGGGCGACAGAGTGAGACTCTATCTCAAAAAAAAAAAAAAAAGAATCTCTTCTAGTCCTTCAGCCATAGGCAGTGATTTCACGTGCCTTCCTATCCCTAAGGCAAAAACAAACAAACCAAAAAACCAAATCTGTACGGCAGCCTGACCACAAGCTAACTGAAAATGAGATCCTTGTGCCTGGAAGCCCCTGGTCTACAGCTTTGAAATAGCATCACAGCAACCCTCTTTCTGGCCCATAGTCACAGCTCCAAGTGCCAAAACAAACAGTGAGCCTTCACAATTCACAATGCTGGCTCTCCTTGCTAGGCTCTGACATCAACACCTCAGGCCTGGTTCAGTGAAGAGAAACAACCAAACATGAAGCAAACCAGAGCACAACAAGAAATGCACCACTCAGATCCCCAGAGGACAGACAGGCCCAGAAAGTTCAAGAGATGGGGACCCGAGAAGCAAATTCAGGTTGAATCTTATGTGGCTAATGGTAGAACACGAAGACTAAGAAATGCCAGGCAGATGCATTTGACCATCAAGCCCCAAACACTAAACTCGAACCTCCTCCTCAAACAAGCTGGCAGCTGCTCAGTGGATGTGTTATACCAGGGTGATAGTCAAAATGATAATTCTTCCATGCTCCATTCTAATGGGAACTCAGAACAGAGCAGGAACCATGAGCACATAGCCTGGATCCAGATTCTCTGGTTTCAAATCCAGGCTCTGCCACTTAGTAGCTGGGTGATACTGTACACACTGCTTAAACTTCTTTAAGCCTCAGTTTTCTCATCTATAAAATGGGGATCATAATAGTACCTATTTCCTAGGGCTGTGGTGAAGATTAAGGGAGTTAACATACATAAGACTATTTGATAAGCACATGGCAAGCATTCAATAATTGGAAGCTATTATTGTTATAAATGGTTGTCTCAGTACCACTGATGCCCATCCCATTTGTGGTCCAGAAAAAGAAGGTAAAACTGCAGATCTATTCCAGCTGAAAGATGACTGCTTAGGAACTCAGTCAGAAACCTGACAGAGAATGTAGAATATGCTTTTAATGTCCTCTTGGTGAAGCAAAAGGAACAAATCCTTCAAATAGTCTCTTAGAAATTACTTTACGCTGATGACTTCTTTGGAAGGACAAAACACATGTGAAATATACCAGATCATAGGTTTCTTGTTGGAGTTCAGACTGATGTGGGGAAGGTTGTACATCATCCTGCATCCTTCCTATGGCCAGAAGAACTAATCAACAACTCAGAACCCGAACTCCCCAGAACGCTTAGGACCACTACACGACCAGAATGAAAAACAGTGAGACCAGGGACTTGTAAAATGCAGTTAACTGCCTGATGCCTGTCCTTCCAAAGCCTGTTGGTGCTCCACACACCTCGTGAAAGGTGACCCAATGTAGTTTCTCACTTCATACAGTACCCTGTACAAAAACCGACCTGGAACAGACCTTGTAAATTATCAGCCTTCCCTAGCTTCCTTAAATCCTCTCTCATTTCCCACCAATGATGTCATTTCATGTTTATTTTAAGCACTTATAAGGTTACAGGATATGAATAAGAGTGTGTCCTCAGAAATAGGAGCAAAATCAGGAAGATCACTGTAATGGTTAATTTTAGGTGTCAACTTGATTAGGCTAAAGAATGCCCAGGTATCTGGTAAAACATTATTCCTGAGTGTGCTTGTCAGGATGTTTCTGTAAGAAATCAGCATTTGAATCAGTAGACTAAGTAAAGAAAACTCACCCTTACCAATGTGGGAAGGCATCACCCAATCCATTGAGGGCCCTGATAGAGCAAAAAGGCAGAGGAGGAATGAATTCTCTCTTTTCTTGCGCTGGAACACCCATCTTCTACTGCCCTTGGACATCAGAACTCCAGTCTCAGCCTTGGGATTCCAGACACATACCTGCACCCCTCCCAGGCTCTGAAGCCTTCAGCTTCGGACTGAGAGTTACACCATCGGCTCCCCTTGCTCTCAGGCCTCCAGACTTGGACTGGATTGTAACACCAGCTTTACAGGGTCTCCATCTTGCAGATGGCAGATCATGGGACTTCTGGCCTCCATAATTGCCTAAGCCAATTCTCATAATAAATCTCCTCTTCTATATCTCTATATATCCTATTGGTTCTGTTTCTCTGGAAAACTGACTATACAGTCATCAGACAAAGTGGCTCCATAGTTAACCAAGAAAATGAAGCACGTAGAGCAATAACATATTCTAACAACAACTTGCAAGCTCACTGCTAAGAGGACTGACATGTTTCCTACCTCTCCTTACAGAGACTAAAAAATATTCTCAGAAAGTAGTGACCAGGCTGGGCATGGTAGCTCATGTCTGTAATCCCAGCACTTTGGGAGGCTGAGGCGGGCGGATCATCTGAGGTCAGGAGTTCGAGACCAGCCTGGCCAACATGGTGAAACTCCATCTCTACTAAAACTACAAAAATTAGGCAGGCATATTGGTAGGCACCTGTAATCCCAGCTACTGGGGAGACTGAGGCAGGAGAATTGCTTGAACCCGGGAGGTGGAGCTTGAAGTGAGCCGAGATCAAGCAACTCCACTCCAGCCTGGATGACAGAGCGAGACCCCATCTCAAAAAAAAAAAAAGAAAGAAAGTAGTGACCGGCATGAGCTGCTCCGTGCCCTGGCCTCTGGCCAGTGTGCCCCTCAGCGGCTCTCCAAAGGCTCCAGTGTTGCTTACCAGACCCGGGATGCACTGGGCTTTGTCCTGGGCTACCTCTATAGGACAGTCCTCTCCTGGCTGTCCCTTTACAGCTTTTTATGCCAGCTGCCTTCTTCAGCCGCCTCTACTTCCCTATGAAGTGGATCATACGTTGACACCATTTTCCTCTCCTAGGTGGGAGGGTAGGGCAGGGCGGAGTTTGGGGGGATCATCCTTTGAGACATACGAGGGGTTTCTCTTTTTGTTCCCTTTACCATTCCTAGACCAGCAGGCTCCTCCCTACTGGGGTTTGGCTGCCCAGTTTCTAGACAATGGGCACTGTTGTACCTTTCAGGACTTGCCACCTGCCTGCACAACTTCCTTCCCAGGATTGGAACCTGACTAATTCACCTTTAAAGCAGCTCTACGGTACTTGGTAGAGTACAAAAAAATGGACTGAGAGAATATTCTTCTTTTAGAAGTAGCTCATCAGTTATTAGATAGCCTGTTCTCTTCCTTAGATAACTATTTATAGCATATTATTTGGATTCTCAAATCAGTTATACTCCCCCCAATATCTTGACTTGTTCCTCGCCTGGGGTGAATTAAGGGCATATTCATTGACTGAAGAAGTTGAACCATTAGCATTCTCAGTGTGTCTGAACAGTGTCGTATGGGGGAGCAAACTGCTTTGATTTGGAGGACGAGTGTTAGTCTTCTGGAAAGAGGCAACCTGACAGTAAAGAACAGCAATCTGCCAAACCTGCTCGACAGAAATATCCTCACTTCTTTTGTTGTAAATCTACATTTATCATGTCACCTTTTGGCCTACAACATGGTTTTCTGAACAGAGTTACTCACCAGAAAGGATTTTCCTAAGCAAACAACTATTGTTGCTTTAGCCCCATGGTGAATGCTGTAGTACCCCCTTATCCACAAAGGACACACACATTCCATGACCCCCAAGAGATGCCTGAAATCTCAGATAGTAACAAACTCTATATATACGATGTTCTTTCTCTTTCTTTTTCTTTCTTTCTTTCTTTCTTTCTTTTTTTTTAGATGGAGTCTCACTCTGTTGCCCAGGATAGAGTGCAGTGGCCAAGATCTCGGCTCACTGCAACTCCTGCCTCCCAGGATCAAGTGATTCTCCTGCCTCAGCCTCCCCAAGTAGCTGGGATCACAGGCACGTGTGACCACGCCCAGCTAATTTTTGTAATTTTAGTAGAGATGGGGTTTTACCATGTTGGCCAGGCTGGTCTCGAACTCCTAACCTCAAGTGATCCACCCGCCTCGGCCTCCCAAAGTGCTGGGATTACAGGCATGAGCCACCAAGCCTGGCCACGATGTTTTTTCTATACATACATGCATAAGATAAAGTTTAATTTATAAATTAGGCAGAGTAAGAGAGTAACAACTAATAATAAAATAAAAAAATAGAACAACTATAATAATATGCTGTAATAAAAGCTATGTGAATGTGCTCCTCCCCATCTATTTCAAAATATCTTAATATTTTTGGACCTCAGTCGACTATGAGTAACTGAAACTGTGGAAAGTGAAACCGCTGATAAAGGAGTCTACTGTACATTTCCATTCTGGTTTAGAAAACAGTCTTATAAATTTGTCATTGTGAGGTGTTCTGCAGTTTGTGCACCATCTAGTGAATGATGAAAGAAACCTGTCACACTGAGGGCTTAGACAGTGGACCTGGGCAGACTGGTCTTAGGCATTTTTGTTACCTTTACATTATCTGGACTTGTGAATTATATAGACATGCAATTCATAATTGGAAAGTAAAAATGCCCAGTAGTGCCATGCCTGAAACAGTTAACTGTTAATGGTTCAATATACATCCTCCCAGGTTCTCCCCCACATATGTGAAAGTGTGAAATTTTTTACTTAACCATGCAATGTGGACATCTCAGTGTGGACACCTTTCTATGTCAGCACCCACAGTGTCCTCCCAGTCTTGCTCCCCAAACTTGCTTTGTCCGCAGTCTGCCTTGCTCCATGAATGGTGGCTCCCCATCCTTCCTCTTTCTCAGGCCGAAAGCCTTGAGATCGTCTTAGACACCTCAATTTCTCCCACACCCCACATTCAATGTGCCCAAAATCCTGAGCCAAAATAAGAGTTCAAACTGAACCACTCCTTGCTACAGCAGCCAGGGAAATACTATGACAGCACTGATCAGATCATGTCATCCTTTAGCTCAATACCCTACTAAGGCTGGGCATGGTAGTTCACGCCTGTTATACCAGCACGGAGGTGGGTGCATTGTTGGAGGCAAGAGTTCAACACCAACCTAGGCAACATAGCAAGCCTCCATGTGTACAAAAAAATTAAAAAATTAGCCAGGTGTAGTGGCAGGTGCCTGTAGTCCTAGTTACTCAGAAGGCAGAGCCTTGAGCCCAGGAAACTGAGGATACAATAAGCACTATGGTCATACCACTGCATTCCAGCCTGGGTGACAAAGTGAGACCCTGTCTCTAAAAATAAACAAACAAAACACACACAAAAACTGGCTAAGCCCCTACCTCAGAGCAACCGTCCCTTCCTCTCTGACTTTACGCACTACTCACCCCTGGCTCCAGCCATTCCAGTCTCCTTGCATTACTTGAACGCATCAGACACCTCCCTGCACAGGCCACACATATGGTGTACTGTCCCCTGTCCCGCCAGAAAGGCACATGGCTGCTCCCTCACCACAAGTCTTGGCAAAAATGGTACCTTCTTGGTGAGGCCTTCCCTGAGCATCCCATTGAAAATCCCCTAACCCCTAGAATTTCCTATGTCACCCTGCTATATTTTTCTCCATAGCACCTAATATTACATTTTATCTATTTTAATCCCAGACTTTCTTCTTCCACTAATTGCAAGCTCCACGAGGGTAGGGATTTTTACCTTTTGCTCCTTGTTTTTCCCCAGTCTCTAAAACAAGACCTCACCCATAGCAGTGTTCAATAAGTATCTGGTGAAGAATAAATGAAAGGCACTGTGCTACCAAATGGGAAATATAAGATTGAAAAAAGCAAAACAAAAGCAGAAGCCTTGGCTAAGGGAACAGAAATGTAAACAAATAACTACAGCATGCGGAACAGCCTGAAAATTGCCATACACACATAGAAGATGAATTCTTACATCCACACAGTACGAGTGATTAATTCTGACCATGGGGATTAGAACAGGGTCCATGGAGAAGGTAGCATTCAAGCTGGGCCTTGGGTAGTAAACAGAATTGTAAGATGCTGAAAGGGAATGGAAGGCTATCAGCAAGAGTATCTTGGTGAAAAGGAAATGCAAAATGTTTGTGGAGAAGACTCGGTGATGCAGAGGGGATGACACACAGGGTAACTGATTGAGATGTGACGTGGGAGGTGAGGTTGGAGAGGCATCCACAGTCAGACTGTGTGGGGCCAGGACAGAACGCTCAGGAGGGGGACTGAAGGAGGCCATGCTTGGGCAATGGGCAGCACTGACTTATTAGTGATAAAGTGAAGGTGGTGCTTAGAGGATGAAATTTGCTCTTTGGGCTGGATGCAGTGGCTCACACCTGTAATACCAGCATTTTGGGAGGTTGAGGTGGGAGAATCGCTTGAACCTGGGAGGTCGAGGCTGCAGTGAGCCATTACTGCACCACTGTACTCCAGCCTGGACAACAGAGCGAGAACTTTATTCAAAAAAAAAATTTACTCTTTGTTTGCTCTTTGTTTATGGTATTCTCCAAAACCATAAAAACATGGGAGGTAGAAACAGGTTAGGAGGCTACAGGAAGAACTACCACCCCCATATTCTAACCACAGCTCCCTGCCTTGGGAGTCCTCTGGTCTGAAATGGTAAGATTGAGTGTGGCCAGTCCTGGTTATCTCACCAAAATCCACAAGCGACCAAAGTGAAACAATGTAGAGAGACGAAAACACTGGATACTTTTGAAATGGCTTTGACAAGATGGGAGTAAGCTCCAATAACACGCCACAGAACACATTCTGGCAATCAGCTAGCAGGCAGTAGCCCTGGCAATTTTATTCCCTGCTGAGTTAAATGATAAAATTACAAAGGAAAAGAGATGCTTGCAGGTTTATTTGGGTACAAAGGAAGTTCAGCATCTTAATGCATGAAATCAAAATTTGTACTTCCCTGAGAGGCATCAGATAGCACGGTGTATGGTCTTCAGCTTCTGCATAATGATAAAGGAATGAAAGGAAAGAGAGATGTTACAGAAAAAACTATTTAATGACACCTGTTAAAGCGCAGTAAGGCTGACTTTCTTCAGGACCATGGAGACAGGTACGGGGACATCTGCAATGTGATTTGCAGTTAGGAAGAGAGATTGAGCTCAATTCCAAATACAGCATGAGCAAGTGGGAATCTATAGCCAAGGAGCTGGGTGGGGGGCTGTGGACAGAAAATTACTAAGAGGAAATATAAGGGGTAAGAGGGGATTCTGGCTAAACCAACCTAACGGGATTCTTGCCAAAGACACCAGGGTGATCAGATGTCACCTGGGGGATGGTGGAGAATAGAAACCCGACATGGAGAATGATCAGGTATTGAAGGCTGGGGTTTTTTTGCTAAAACGGGATTTTACAAGGCATTCACAGGTGGGCCCAGTAGAAGGTTCAGGAGCCCTGACCAAAGTTTAGTCACATGAAGAATCTTTGTCAGAGGGTAGGGTCCAAATGATACAGCTTTGATGAGTGGAGGAACACCAGGGTTCTTTGTCCTCATGCCAGTTTAGATAAAATGACACGGACACATGAGGAGTGGTTTTAAGGAGTTTAATAGGCCGGAAAGAAAAGAGAAAGGCAGAAGGAAGAGGCTCCCCCGTACACAGCCAGAGGGATGGGGGCGGGGGGGTGCTCCAAAACCAAAAGAGGAGGTCCCCACCTGTCATGGATACCAGTCAGGTGTATATACAGAGGTTGGAGGAGGCGGTGTTTGATTTGCATAGGGCTCAGGGGATTGGTTTGACTAGGCATGTCACTTACGTAGCCCTGCGAGAAAGCTGGCCCTCTCATCCCAGCCTTTTAATATGCAAATGCATTGCCATGATGTTCTACACACGTGGGGATATGTGGGGGTGGCCATGTTGCCAGGAACATGTGAGGCAAGGGCGAGAAGGCTGCAGGAATCGCCATTTTGGGTGGACCCAGTTTCTAATGGCCTGCATTTGTATATCAAAGTTTGCCGGCCTGGTGGGGCCTTACAAGAAACTTTCCGGAAATGCTTTAAAAAATGAAAACTTCCCAAAGACCCCTTTCCCTCTCTATTTGCCTAAAATAATTTCTTAATAACTCCTACAACACAAATAACTTTTTTTTTTTTTTAAATAACTCAGGCTGGAGTACAGTGACGTGATCTCAGCTCACTGCAACCTTCACCTCCTGGGTTCAAGTGATTCTCCTGCCTGAGTCTCCTGAGTAGTTGGGATTATAGGCGCCTGCCGCCACACCTGGCTAATTTTTGTATTTTTAGTGGAGATGGGGGGGGTTTCACCATGTTGGCCAGGCTGGTCTTGAACTCCTGACCTCAGGTGATCCGCCCACCTCCGTCTCCCAAAATGTTGGGATTACAGGTGTGAGCCACTACACCTGGCCTCAAATAACCTACTTTATTAAAACACAACAACTTTGGGAGGCCAAGAAGGGCAGATCACGAGGTCAGGAGATTGAGACCATCCTGGCTAACACGGTGAAACCCCGTCTCTACTAAAAATACAAAAAAAAAAAAAAGGTTAGCAGGGCGTGGTGGTGGGTGCCTGTGGTCCCAGCTACTCGGAAGGCTGAGGCAGGAGAATGGCGTGAACCCGGGGGGCGGAGCTTGCAGTGAGCCGAGATCACGCGAAAAACAAAACAAAAACAACACAGCAACTAAAACATGACCATAATTCAAAATTAGGTTACAGAATCTAAGTTTATTTCATAAGTATTTTATTTTTTGATTTTTGTGTTGAAAAAAAAATCTGTTTTTTCTTTTTCCAAAAACATTCATTGTACATTTAGGTAGACATTTCTAAAAAGAGAGACATGTGTCTTGGGACCCCCACGTTTCATTATTTAGCTGTGAATTTCTTTTAATCTACCCACTTCTTTTAAATCGCAAACAAATTACTTGCAGCTTTCTTTAGTCTCTGCAGAAAATTACTCAAGTAATTGTCTTTATGATGTCTTTCCTTCTTATTTATATAACCACTGAAAAAGGAGATTTTCATTCACTTGACAAGTATTTACCCAGTGCCTTCCCTGGGTCAGGTATTCTGTTGGGTAGTAGGAAGGTACAATTATGAAAAAGGCAGACTCTAACCTGAAGGCATCTAGAGGAGGAGACAGACACAATTACGTAATCACGAATGCAAATGTAGCAACTTTGATAATGCAAACAAGTCCTACAAAGCCCAGAGTAAGGCAAACATAATCCCACCTGAGGAAGCTGGGACTGATGAATAGAGGAGGTGACATTAAGATGGTCTGGAAGGAATTCACCAAGTAGATAAAGCTAGACAGGCATCCTGGGTAAGGGACCGCTCAAACAAAGGCACAGAAACACGGTGTGATTACAAACTAAATGAGAAGGATTTTTACCGATGAGGAGGATTACAGCATGGCTATAGTACTGGGGGAGCAGGAACCTATTGCAATGTTCTCAGAGAGACACAGGTATACTGAATCAAGCATTGTGAAATCAATGAATTCAAGAAATATTTTGGAGGTAGGAGGTGACCATACAAAGAACACTTGAGGCATTTCATTCTTGCAAACGCAGCTGAGACAGGGCCGGCAGTACACACCTTTCAATGAATAGAAACTTTAAAATGTACTCTGCTAGTGAATTTGCGTGTTTGGAATAAAGTCAGTTGGGGCTTGGTAAAGGAGAAAAAAATTGTTGCATTGATAGGATCTGTAGATTTTGTTATAAAAGACAGATATGTAAATGAAAGTACATTCTGAGAATCTGATCCATGCTGAAACTGAGTAATAAAACCAGAACTGTATTGTTTCCAAAGTCTAGTTCAGTGATTCTTCTCCACTTCAAGTGGCTACAAACCAGAAAATCTAATTAACGATGGGAGGTGGGAGGGATGAGACTGAAGATTTACAGGAGATAAAGATTTATGAAAACTCAATATTCAGGATAAAGAAAGGGGGATAGAATAGCTCTTTAATTAAAAGATAACATTCCATTCTTTGTTTTTCATTGTTTAACAAAGATGAAAAGATATCCAGCCCTTTCTCTCTGGCAGAAAAATGCTTAACAGCTTTGAATATGGTTACGAAATGACACCCACGGCTGTGGATGGACATTAGTCTGTTTTTCTGAGCCCCCACAAGACAAGTCCCTAAATTCTGCCACAGGGAGGCCATATGATCACATGCACACAGCCTCATGAGTGGGCAGGGTGGCTGTGGTTTGCTCCCTGGGTTGTAAAACCGTCCTTGCCCAAGGCCTGATAAAAGCAGGTAGTGGAGAAAGGCTGCAAAGCCCATTTCTTAGGCAAAAGAAAAAAAAAAACATTTTCTTTTGTTTTGGTTTTTGCTTTTCAGGCAGTGTTTTGCTCTGTCACTCAGGCTGGACTGCAGTGGCATGATCATGGCTCACAGCAGCCTCCACCTCCTGGGCTCATGTGATCCTCCCACCTCAGCCTCCATAATAGCTGGGACTACAGGTGTACTCCACCACACCTGGCTAATTTTTATATTTTTAGTAGAGACAGGGTTTTACCATTTAGCCCAGGCTGGTCTCAAACTCCTAGGCTCAAGCAATCCTCCCACCTTGGCCTCCCAAAGTGCTGGGATCATAGGTGTGAGCCACTGCTCTCACCCAAGATAAAAAACTTTGATAGGAAAGTACAGAAAAACATTTTGGGGTTGTGGATGAGGAGATAAGGACAACTATATTTGAATCCAAGGAAGCAATAAGAACAAGTAGAACACATTTCTTCTGGCAGTCAGTGCTAGATCCTATCTGCTCAATTGGCCAGGTACTTTGAATGGTCAAACATATCATTTGGCCTTTGGAATCACCCTGCCTAAAAAAGTATTTCCTTGGGAAATAATAACAACAACAATAATAATGATGATGACAGGATATTGGCAGCAGTTAATACGCCCTGTGCCTAACATTCTGCCTAGTACTTTACATGGATTCTCTTATTAATCCCTTACAGCAGCTCTGTAAGGTGGAGACTATTTTTACTGCCAACTTACAAATGAAAATATAAAGGCCTACAGAGGTTTAATATCTTGCTCAGGGTCACACAGCTAGTAAGTGGTTGAATCCAAACTCCTGGGCTATTGTCACTACAACTAAACTTTATTATGCTTTATGACACTCACCACTTACAAAAACCTCTCAATTAATTATAATGCTTAGATGGTCTTCTAATTAATTAAAACTAGATGGCCTCGCTTTCGATCTTTACTGATAGTCTTTCTGAAGTCTATCCTACCTCAGTAAAGACTACATACTGAGCGTAATTATGCCTTTCACTGGTGACCGAGGGTCTTCGGTTAAGAATCATGATTTTGTCTCCCCTGGCATGTCTTCCCCGTGTAATTCTTACCCATCTTTCCAGAACCGATTCCACTGTCAGCCAATCTAGGAAAGGTTTCCCTCACCACCCAGATCATACTGGGTCTTTTTTTTTTTTTTTTTTTTTTTTGGCAAATAATTGCCCATATCTCCTATTTTACTTCACAGAGTAAACCTCAGGTATTTCAGCTTCAGTCATGTAGATATTGTGGTGGCTTTGTACTGTGTCACCTTGGCTCACCTGATCTGTGTTTCCCAGAGTTTCCTTACCTGTGTGTTTCCGGTGAGAATGGACACAAGAGACATTTTCACACGTAATTTGGAGGTGAAAGTGAAGCAGCAGCCATTTACAAAAATGCTCCCATTTTATTTTGGAATAATTTTAGATGTTCAGAGCCACTCTGTTCTTATGTTCCGAGGATCAGGGCAGGTGCTTTCACAGCTCGCACACGTACTTGTTTTTCTGTGGCTCCCCTACTTGGTGTGGGGCATCTGCTGGGCCTGCCACTGCTCCCCCTTCCTCTAGATGCTTCTTGGGCTTCTCTGACTGCTGGGTCAGGAGTGTGTTTAGCTCCACGACGAAAGGTACCCTCTTTCTGCAGGACACTCACACCATCAAGGCTGACGAGGGCTGACCGGGTTCCAGAGTCCTTGTGGGTCCGGGTTGATGCTCATGAGTTCTAGTTGAGCTTGTGGTAGGTTGCTTCCCTGTGCTCTCCCTCCATGCCTTCTTCCCATGGATCTGTCCCTTCCTAACTCTCTGCCCAGTGGACTTCTAACTCCAGCATCAGAAGTGAAGAAAACAGCTTCACACAGTTTAACCAGCTCTACAATTAAGTAAGCTCAAATCCCTGTAAACTGTGTGTGTATACATCATGGTTTTGCTTCTCTTTGAACCCTGACACAGATAGATAGATATAAACGGGTTGAAAGCTTGAATCCAATGAAAACATTACCTTTCATTGGTAAGGTCTCATTCTGGTAATTTATTCATATCCCGAAGTCAGGTTCAAGCAAAGAAGAAAGGAAGAAGAAAAGGCAAGGAGCAGGAAAAATAAAAGTAATTTGTGATAATGTAATATATGTCCACTTTGCACAGGCACTAGGCCAGTGCTAGAAATACAAAGATTAATATTAACCTTAGACCTCATAATCTATGGGGGAGGAGGATTCTTAAAGAGCTAACTATGATAGAATAAATGCTATATAATTGGCATGAATAAAGTACTACAGGAACATGGAGGAGAAAGTCATTAGTTCTAACTGACAGGACCAGGGAAGGCTCTGCAGGTGAAGCAGCACTGATGCTGGGCCATGAAGAATGAGTCATTCACCAGTGCAGGGGCTCTCGAACTTCAGCAGGCATCAAAATCACCTGCACGGGCTATTGCAACAGAAATTGCTGGGCCCCACCTCTGAAGTTCTGGCTCAGTAGGCCCCAGGTGAAACCTGAGAATTTGTATTGCTACAAGTTCCCAGGTGATGCTGATGTGCTCCTGGCCTGGGGACCACACTTTGAGAACCACAGCTCTAGTGAAAAAAGGTGGGGATGAAGATGGCACGTGTTCCAAACAGAGCAGAGGCAAATGGAGATATGCATAAAAATTCATTGGAAATTAATTTCCCCTGCCCACAGCCCCCTCTCTCATTCTCCTCTCTCTCTTACTATTTCTAGTTACTTTTCCTCGTCCCTTTTTTTTTTTTTTTTAGATGGAGTCTCTGTCACCGAGGCTGGAGTGCAGTGGTGCAATCTTGGCTCACTGCAACCTCTGCCTCCTGGGTTCAAGTGATTCTCCTACCTAAGCCTCCTGGGTAGCTGGGACTACAGGTGTGCACCAAGCCTAGCCAATTTTTGTATTTTTAGTAAAGACGGGGTTTCACCATATTGGCCAGGCTGGTCTTGAACTCCTGACCTCGTGATCTGCCCGCCTCGGCCTCCCAAAGTATCCTTGTCCTCTTTACCTACTGTCTTGGATGCATCAAGTTTTATGGTGTCTTTGAGGCACAAAAGTGGAGATGTACAGAAGGCAGGAGACAACCAGGGTCTCAAGTTCAGGTAAGTGGTCAGGCTGGACGTGTTGATTTGGGAGTCTACACAGAGTGGTAATAGAGGGAACATGAAAGCAGGGGGCAGTCAGCACACACGGAGAGTGTGTGAAGGGAGAGAGGAGCCAGCGGGAAGGCAGGGGAGGAGAGCACAGAGCACAGGAGAGCCAAAGACAGAGAAGCACCAGCAGTGGGAGGACAAAGGGGATGCTGCCAAGGAAGGGGAATGGGAACGATCAGAGAAACAGCAGAAGCACAAGAGAGTTGTTTTTTGTTTCTTTCCCTCCCTCCCTCCCTCCCTCTCTCCCTCCCTCCCTTCCTTCCTTCCTTCCTTTTTCTTTTTTTTTGAGACAGAGTCTTGCTCTGTTGCCCAGGCTGGAGTGCAGTAGCACAATCACAGCTCACTCCAGCCTCGACTTCCTGGGCTCAAGCAATCCTCCCATCTCAGCCTCCCAAGTAGCTGGGACCAAAGGCATATGTGCCATGCTTGACTAATTTTTTTGACATTTTCTAGAGATGGGATCTCACTATGTTGCCCAGGCTGACTCAAATTCCTGGGCTCAAGCGATTCTCCTGCCTTGGCCTCCCCAAGTGCTGGGATTACAGGTATGAGCCACTATGCCCACCTGTAAGAGTTTTGTTATGAAGGTCAAGGAGTGGTCAACTGTCTCAAATGCCACAGGTGAGGGCTGGAGAGAGGTCAAGGGATTGGCTAGTGAGTCGATCAGTGATGGCCTTTATCAGAGCAGTTTCAGCAGGACTGTGGAGACAGACTTCCCACTGCAATGATGTAAGATGAAAGGGAGGTGGGGAAGTAGAGAAAGTAAATGTGGGTTACTTTCAAGAGAAGCTTGGCTGTGAAAGAAAGGAAAGATGTGCAGGCATGAGTAAAGGGAAACCTACCTAAAAATTAAGAGAGAAATCTGCTTTTCAAAAAATAGAGAATTGAGCATATTTTATGGTTAATAGGAAAGAAGTAGAGGCTGAAAGTATGGAAAGAGGGAGGGAATGTGTAGGGCTCCATGTGCTGCAGGAGAATTCAGAGGACGGGCCCTCAGCCCAGGAGGGGAGGGCTGAGACACAGGAAAGTGAAAGGCTTGGATCATGCCTTTTGCTCTCTTTCAATCTCTCTCTCTCTCTCTCTCTAGAGAGAGAGAGTGAGAGAGATGGAGTCAGAGGGAGGGCAAAGGAGGGATGGAAGAAACAAGAGAGAGAGAAGGTAGTGGGAGATACAGGGGAGTGAAGAGATATGAGTTTGGAGTAATCCCTGAGGTGTGAGGAGGGTGAACAGACTTATAAAAACCATCCTGTTCAGGGGCCAGGCACGGTGGCTCAAGCCTGTAATCCCAGCACTTTGGGAGGCAGAGGCGGGTGGATCACGAGGTTAGGAGATCGAGACCATCCTGGCTAACACAGTGAAACCCCGTCTCTACTAAAAATACAAAAAATTAGCCGGGTGTGGTGGCGGGTGCCTGTAGTCCCAGTTACTCGGGAGGCTGAGGCAGGAGAATGGTGTGAACCCGGGAGGTGGAGCTTGCAGTGAGCCAAGATCGCGCCACCGCACTCCAGCCTGGATGACAAAGCGAGACTCTGTCTCAAAACAAAACAAAACAAACAAAAAAACCACATCCTGTTCCACACTGAAGGCCTAAATTGGCCTGGAATTCCTAAGTTTGTCTCCACAGAGTGATCAGCAGCCAATATACAATGGCATAAAAGGTAGATGGCTGTTATGAATCCATTCTCACACTGCTATAAAGAAATACCAGAGGCTGAGTAATTTATAAAGAAAAGAGGTTTTATTGGCTCACAGTTCTGCAGGCTGTACAGGAAGCATAGTAGCTTCTGGAGAGGCCTCAGGAAACTTACCATTATGGTGGAAGGCGAAGGGGAAGCAAGCACGTCTTACATGGCCGGAGCAAGAGAGAGTGAATGGGGAGGTAACACACACTTTTAAATAACCAGATCTCATGATAACTCTATCCTGAGACAGCACTAGGGAGATGGTGCTAAACCATTAGAAACAACCCCCATCATCCAATCACCTCCCACCAGGCCTCACCTCCAACACTGGGGATTACATTTTGACATGAGATTTGGGTGGCGACACAGATCCAAACCATATCAATGGCAAATGGAGCCAAGGCAAGGCAGATACAGCAAAATAAAAAGCAGCAAAGATGGAGACTTAGTAAGGAGTAAAGATCTAGTAACTAAGACAGGAATAGCAAGAAGAAAAATAAGGTGCCTGAAGAAACCCGTCTGGATGAGCTGCACTGAGATGCCTTCGAGACATTTAGGAGAGAAGTACGAGGATAGAAATATAACCTGTAGTTCAGAAGAGGTTAAAGACAGGTTTGGAAGTCAGCTGCATAGAGGTGCTGATTCAAGTCAAGGTCACTGTTGCAATAACCCAGGTGGACTATGTAGAATGGGAAGAAAGGATGGAGCCAAGGAGAACACTCATGTTTAGGGGGCAATGGAGGAATGGAGGCTGAAAAAGTGGTCATAGAAGGGCCAGGCATGGTGGCTCACACCTGTAATCCCAACACTGGGAGGCCAAGGTGGGTGGATCACCTGAGGTCAGGAGTTCAAGACCAGCCTGGCCAACATGGCGAAACCTCATCTATATTAAAATACAAAAAATTAGCTGGGCGTAGTGGCACACACCTGTAATCCCAGGTACGTGGGAGGCTGAGGCAGGAGAAGTGCTTGAACCCGGGAGGTGGAGGTTGTAGTGAGCCGAGATTGCACCATTGCACTCCAGCCTGGGCAACAGAGCAAGACTCTGTCTCAAAAAAAAAAAAAAAAAAAAAAAAGGTCATGGAAATAGAGGAAAATGAGGAAAGAATGTTGTCATGAAAGCCAAGGAAAGAAAGGTGCAAGACAAAGAGGTGGTCAACAATGTCAAATGTCCTTAGAGTTCAACCAGGACTAGCACTGAGAGGAGTCTGCTGGATTTAGCAATTCAGAGGTCACTGGTGACATTGGCATGAAAGGTTTTAGTAGGGCACAGGGTCAGAAACCAGGTTATAATTAAGTTGAGAAAGGGATGGGAGGAACTTTGGCTGTAAACAAACAGATGGAGCAATAGTTCAAAGAACAGTCAGGATCAAAGAAAGATTTTGTTTTTTGAGAGAGCTACAGTAAAACAGCACATTAGTACTGAGCATTTGTATAGGCTGATAATAAGAGCTGAAAAGAGAGTATGAATAAGACAAGATAACATGTTTGCTTATCAAGTTAGCAAACTTTTAATCAAAATGACAATGCTGGTGAGAATGCAAATTGAAATGCAAATATTTCTGGATTTGTCAAATATGTAGGAAGATGCAGCCCAGGCTATATTCAGGGATAAATTGGTGGTCTTAGATATTTTCATTATAGTAGAGACAGAAAGGAGGGAAGGAAGAGAAAAAGATGCACCCTCTTCATGAATTTAGAAAGAAACATATAAGGAAACCACGAGGGTGACAATAACAAAGTAAAAGCGACAATCAATGAGCTTTTTAAGACAGCAAAATTAACATGAAGAAATCCTAGAGCTGCTTCTAGAAAATTAAAATATCAAGTGTCTTAAGAAAGATATGCAAAGTAGCGTTATAAAGTATCTATAATATATATATGTACTGATGGGGGTATGTGTGTGTATATATGTATGTATATACATACATCTATAATTGTATATACATAGAACTTTAAGTTATAGGTTACAGCAAGGCAAAATAATTCTTGTCTATAGACATGCAAATTCTGTTCTGTCAAGTAAACTTTTTTTTTTTTTTTTGAGACAGAGTCTCACTCTGCAGCCCAGGCTGGAGTGCAGTGGCACGATCTCCGCTCACTGCAAGCTCCACCTCCTGGGTTCACGCCATTCTCCTGTCTCAGCCTCCCGAGTAGCTAGGACTACAGGTGCCTACCACCACGCCCGGCTAATTTTTTGTATTTTTAGTACAGACAGGGTTTCACTGTGTTAGCCAGGATGGTCTCGATCTCCTGACCTCGTGATCCGCCTGCCTTGGCCTCCCAAAGTGCTAGGATTACAGGTGTGAGCCACTGCGCCCGGCCTCAAGTAAACGTTTAATTGACTATTCTTTCTCCCACACTGCCACAAAACAATGAGTTTTGCTTCCATTTGCACATTTATTTCAATATTTATGAATCAATGTTGTTGGTCCATAGATGTGTCCACTTTCTGAATTCTCTTTTTAACTGGTTATAACTATAACATCTGCCTGATTCCCTCACTAATTAACGTGTACCATAAAGTAACGCATTCATTTATATATTTGTATGAGAGCCATGAATTTATCTTTTTCTGACAACTATCCTTTAACAGTTGCAAACTTTTAGAGAAAAGCTAATTTTAATGCTAAATCAATTATGCTCAAATATGGAAAATTATGGAAAGCTACTCAAACTTTTTTATAGGCTATTTCTGATGCCAAAAACTGATAAGCATATCTCCAAAAAAAGAAAACTACAAGCCAATTTTATTTCTGAACAAAATATATCAACTCTCACAGTTTTGAGCTGATGCAGTTTTACAGTTATTTATCAATTTTTTTACATATCTACCGTTTATGTCTTAAACAGACAAACAAAAAAGACATCAATTATTACTGTCCTTAGATCTCGTAACCAGTTTTATCAATTGGTACTGCAGAAAGATCTCTTTTAACTCCATCTTTTCAATATATGGATTGTCAGGCAGCTTTCTCAAACATGCCAGTAAGTACTTTGATAATTTTTTCAATGACCATAGTTTAAGGAGTAGTTAAGCTAGATTTGTAGAAACAAATAAGGAAGACCAAGTTCAAAGCATCAGCCTCTCAATAAAATATAAAGCCGCAGAAATGTTATCCGCACAATGAAAGAATGTAAATCAGGAAAAAAGTTACCTATCAGTCCAGGTTTCAATACTAACAAATCTGGTTTGTTTTAGAAGAGGTTACCATCTAGAACTTTCACATTACTGAATTTAGTTACAGATCCAAAACCAAAGTTGGTGCGATCCCTAATCCCCTTTGAAATCTTGGTTTTGGTAACTGGAGTTCTGCCAGACAAGCTACATTTGAGAACAAAGTCTCTCACAGTTGGTAAGAAATTGCTATTCTAGAAAATAAAACTTAGAATATAAAGAAAGAGTAGGCCACCAACTTACAGGGTTGTTATGGGAACAAATTAAGGGTGGGTTCTATTAGTGTTTATTTTGCAACGTTTATTTTGCAATGTTCTGGAAGCTTCGGACAATGTGAACAGCTAGAAATAACAAGTATAATTCTGTAAAGGAGGAGGCAAAAATAATTTGTTTCCAGGTGATAGGCTTATTTACCAACCAAGCCCCTCACCTCACCCCTGCAAAAGAGTTAACTGAAAAACTATTACATTTAACAATAGAGCTTAGCAAAGTGGCTGAATACAACATAAATATCTAAAAATCAACAGCTTTTCTGTGTACTTGCAAAAATAATTAGAAGATATAATAGAAAAAAGAAGCCATTTACAATGTGCAAGATGTAACATATAAAGGGAAAACTTTGCTAAAAGATAAAAAGACATCCCAAATAAATGGAGAGACAGTAAAGAGTTATCAATTCTGTGCAGATTACTTTACAGCAGCGTATCTCTAAATGGGGTCCAAGGATTACTGCCTCAAACATCACCTCAGATGCTGATTAGAATGCAGATTCCTGGTTTACAGATGCCCATCTTATAGAATTGGAGCAGAGGGAGGGTAAGTTTTCAAGAAACTTGTCTTCTTAACATGCTCCCCAAGTGATTGTAATACACATTAAAATTTAGAAACCACAGCTTTATGTAGGTTTCATAAAATTCCATGAACATCCCAACTTCACCTAGAATGAGAGCCATGAAGGGGGCTGGCCTAACATATGTTAAAGTGTATAATACACTTAAACACAAAGTATTTAAAGAAAGTATATCATAAACTTTAGTAATAAAAATAATGTGGTTTTGTAAAAAACCCAGCAAACAAATCAACAGAACTGAATAAACAGCACCAAGACAGACTCCTACATTAAGTTACAACAGAAGTAAAATTGTTTCTGTGTCAATTCTTGCATACACCAGAGAACTGCTGCATCTTTTTCACCCAGTTTGGAGGGTTTGTTTGGATGAATCTGATGCTACATGGTTGTCTTAGTCCATTTTCTGTTGCTATAACAGCATACCACAAACTGGGTAATTTATAAAGAATAGGAGTTGATTTGGCTCATAGTCCTGGAGGCTGGGAAGTCCATGATCAAGGGGTTGCATCTTGTGAGGGCTTTCTTGCAGGGAAAGAATATGGCAGAAGGTGTCAAATGGTGGGGAAGGGCAAGCACAAGATGGAGAAAAACAGGGCTGAACTTCCATGACAACTAACCCACTCTCTCAATAGCAGCATTAATCCATTTATTAGGGTGAAGCTGTCAAGACCTGATCATTCTTAAAGGTCCTACCTTTCAATACAATCACAATGGCAATTAAGTTTTGGCATGAGATTTGGAGGGGAGATTCAAACTGTAGCAATGGTATAGAAGCAATTCAGGTGGGGAAGCCACAGGTACACCTCAGAGGTACAGTGACAAGGAGAAACCATGCAATTCCCAGTCAGGATGTGTGGCCCATATGTATAAATATGTAATAAAACAACTAAAAGGGCCTTCAAGTTGGAAGAAAAAAGGGAACACCCAAGGAAATGTAGCCATTGACCTGGGATTGAGTTGTTTCTCATATGAGCAACTCTTTGTAGTAGGTTCTAGACTGGGTAGCAGCAGTAGTTTATGCATTAAAGAATATCTAATATGGGGAAGGTTGCTAGTGTAAGTTAATTTTTAAAATAGGGTTTCTCAGCAGAGGCACTATTAACATTTTAGCTGAATAATCCCTTGTTGTGGGGGCTGACTTGTGCATCCTAAGGTGTTTAGCACCATACCTGCCTCTACACGTTAGATGTATGTAGCACCCCCCTCCCTGCTGCAACAACCAAAAATATCTCCTGACATTGTCAAATGTCCCAGGCCGGGTTGGGAGTGTTGTGGGGAGGGGCAAAAATCACCTCTGGTTGAAAACAACTGCTTTAAAGCAATCAGTGAGGAATATAACAATTATTTAGGATGGGCGTGGTGGCTCATACCTGTAATCCTAGCACTTTGGGAGGCCAAGGCAGGTGGATCACGAAGTCAAGAGATCGAGACCATCTGGCCAACATGGTGATACCCCATCTCTACTAAAAACACAAAAATAAGCTGGTCCTGGTGTCATGCACCTGTAGTCCCAGCTACTCAGCAGGCTGAGGCAGGAGAATCGCTTGAACCCGGGAGGCGGAGGTTGCCGTGAGCTGAGATAGCACCACTGCACTCCAGCCTGGCAACAGAGCGAGACTCCATCTCAAAAAAAAAAAAAAAAAAAAAAGAATTATTTAATAAACGTGCTGGGAACATCAATTTTTAAACGGGGAAAAAATGACCCACCTATTTAGATACTCAAATCACACACATACGCTATAGGTGAAATAAAGAGTAAAAATGTAAAACTTGAAAACTATAACATGGCTAGAAAACTTACGTAAATATTTAGCTAATGTCTGGATAGGGAAGCATTTTCTAGGTTAAAAAACAAAGAATGAACAGCTGAGCATGATGGTGCATGCCTGTAGTCCCAGCTCCTCAGGAGGCAGAGGTGGGAGGATCGCTTAAGCCCAGGAGTTGGAGACCAGCCTGAGCAATATAGCAAGACCCCATTAAAAACAAAAAAAAAATGAAATATTGATATGTTTGACCACAGAAGGCTAAAATTCTGCAAAATTAAAAGGTCAATGACAAACTAGAAAAATACTTATAAGCAATAGGTCAAAGAACTGGCTAATATTCTTCATATATAATGTTAGTATCTATAAGAAGAGCACTAATGCATCAAAAGAAAAATGGGCAAGAGATGTAAACAAAGATTTTACATTAGAAGAAATACAAATATTCATAGTAAGTGCACAAAAATTTTGTTCAACTTCAACAATTATTATTATTATTATTTTTTGAGACTGGATCTCACTCTGCCGCCCAGGCTGGAGTGCAGTGGCTCGATCTAGGCTCACTACAAGCTCCACCTCCCAGGTTCACACCATTCTCCTGCCTCAGCCTCCCGAGCAGCTGAGACTACAGGCGCCAGCCACCACACCCGGCTAATTTTTTTTGTATTTTTTTAGTAGAGATGGGGTTTCACTGTGTTAGCCAGGATGGTCTCGATCTCCTGACCTTGTGATCTGCCCGCCTCGGCCTCCCAAAGTGCTGGGATTACAGGCGTGAGCCACCGCGTCCGGCCCAACTTCACCAATTATTAAAGAAATTTTAAAATAATGAATTTCCAATTTTACTGTATCCAAGAAGAAAATATATTTTTTAAAATGGTAATACTTAATGCAGGCAAAGAGGTAGACAAATGGGTATTCTCCATACCATTGATGATAAATGAGCAGGTCCTTTTACACCCTTTGGAAAACAACTGGGTGATAGGTATCAGGAGGCTTAAAAATGCTCCTATCCTTGACTTCCTATTTCTGCTCACACAAATTCACACTAAGCGTACTGGACTGAATTGTGTCCCTCCAGAGGATGTGTCCAAGACCTAATCCCCATTACCTGTGAGTGTCATCTTCTTTGGAAATAGAGGTTTTGCAGATGCAATTAGTTAAGGATCTTGAGAAGTGATCTTCCTGGATTTAGGGTGGGACCTAAATCCAATGACTGATGTCCTTATAAAAAAGAGGAGAGGAAATAGACACACATAGGGAAGAAGCACACATGAAGACAGAGGCAGAGATTGGAATAATGCTGCCAGAGAAGGCCAGGAGCCACCAGAAGCTGGAAGAGGTGAGGAAGGATTCTCCCCTAGAGCCTTCAATAGGAGCAGGGCGCTGCTGACAACTTGGTTTTGGATTTCCGGCCTCCAGGACTGTGAAAGAATAAGTTTCTCCTGTTTTAAGCCACAAAGTCTGTGGTAATTTGTTGTGGCAGCCCTTGGAAACTAATACACTAAGGAAACAATCCAAGATATGAACAAAAGTTTATATATAAAGATGTTCATCTCTGCATTATTTTTATTTTATTTTATTTTGAGACAGAGTCTCGCTCTGTCACCCAGGTTGGTGTGTGGTAGCGCGATCTTGGCTCACTGAAACCTCTGCTTCCAGATTCAAGCGATTCTCCTGCTTCAGCCTCCTGAGTAGCTGGCACTACAGGTACCCACCACCACGCCTGGCTAATTTTTGTGTTTTTAGTAGAGGCAGGGTTTCACCACGTTGGCTAGGCTGATCTCGAACTCCTGACCTCAAATGATCCACCCATCTCAGTCTCCCAAAGTGCTGGGATTACAGGCATGAGCCGCCGCACCCAGCCTATGCATTATTTTATAACAGCAGAAAGTTAGAAAAAAACCTGAAGCAATGAAAAACAGAGGAAGGAGTAAGTTATAGTGTACCTATAATTAATTCGCAGTCATTCAGATATGTTTTTGAAGAATTTCTAATGCCATAGGAAAATGCTTATATATACAGAAAATTCAGGATATAAGTGTATGTACAATGTAATCCCCAAATGTAATTACATATGATATATACTTATTGCCCTGATAAATAAGATGGGTAAAAAAAGTCTGAAATAGAAAATAGCATATGTCAACAATATACTAGAAGAAAAATAAACCATTACCCCGGAGAGTTTATCCCAGAAAATTTACAGTTGTTATTATCAACATGTAATATATTAATGAGTCAAAGCCTTAGAATGAACTCAAAAGATGTTAAAAAGACATTTGAGGGACCAGGTGCAGTGGCTCATGCCTGCAATCCCAGCACTTTGGGAGGCTGAGGTGGGCAGATTGCTTGAGCTCAGGAGTTTGAGACCAGCCTGGGCAACATGGCGAAACCTTAACTATACCAAAAATATTATACAAAAATTAGCCAGGTGTGGTGTCGCACACCTGTAAGTCCTAGCTACTCAGGAGGCTAAGGTGGGAGGATCACTTGAGCCTGGGAGGTCAAAGCTGCAGTGAGCTGAGATCACGCCACTGCACTCCAGCCTGGGGAACAGACCTAGACCCTGTCTCAAACAAACAAACAAACACAAAAGATATTTGATAAAATTCAGTGATCGTTCCTTACAAAATAGCTAAGAAAACCAGGAATAAAAAGATTTTATAATGAGTATCTCTCTTTTTCAAACTCTTTTTCAAAGTACCATCCAGCATCATTCTTTGGGATGAAAGGGGAGCTTTCCTATTAAACAAAATTAGGATGAATGAATACTATTATCATGATCATTAATGCTGTTCTGGCCGTTTTTACCAATTCAGTAAGATGAGAAGCAAAAATAAGGGGTCTAATTACAATAACATAGAATTATTATCTGCAACAGCAAGACCAGAGAATTGATTAAAATATTATTGGAATTAATGAGTGTTCATATAATGAATTGGATAAAGGATAAAAATCCAAACAACTTTTTTTTTTTGAGACAGAGTCTCGCTCTGTCGCCCAGGCTGGAGTGCAGTGGCACGATCTCGGCTCACTGCAAGCTCCGCCTCCCGGGTTCACGCCATTCTCCTGCCTCCGACTCCCGAGTAGCTGGGACTACAGGCGCCCGCCACCACGCCCGGCTAATTTTTTGTATTTTTAGTAGAGATGGTGTTTCACCGTGTTAGCCGGTATGGTCTTGATCTCCTGACCTCGTGATCTGCCCGCTTCTGCCTCCCAAAGTGCTGGGATTACAGGCGTGAGCCACCGTGCCTGGCCACAACTTTTAAATATACAGAATAAAAATGGAAACATCTACAATAGCAACAAAACCCATAAAATATTGAGGACTACCTATAAGAAATGTACATGAACAAATCCCACAAAACTACTAAGAGACACAAAAACTTGAATAAATGTTCCTGGAAGGTAAATTATTAACAGAATACTGTGAAGAAAACCACTCTTGCCAAATTTAGAGATACCAAAGAATTCAATAGAAAAACTTAAGGAGATTAGTTTGGAATTTGACAGTGTTTCTAATGTTCATCTGGAAGAAGGAACTGTTGAGGCAAACACCTGCACATAAAATTGGTGTCTAAGCCCAAATAAGTCATAGTCATTCAATGTTTCTACCTATTCTTTTTTTTTTTTTTTTTTTTTTTTTTTTTTTTTTTTTTTGAGACAAGGTCTTGCTCTGTTGTCATGGCTCACTGCAGCCTTAACCTTCTGGGCTCAAGTGATCCTCCCATTTCAGCCTCCTGAGTAGCTGGGACTACAGGTGCATGCCACCATGCCCGGCTAATTTATTGATGTTTTTGTTGAGATGGGGTCTCACTATGTGGCCCAGGCTGGTCTCAAACTCCTGAGTTCAAGCAATCCTCCCCACACCTCAGCCTCCTAAAGTGCGGGGAACACAGTGTGAGCAACCGCGCCTGGCTATTACCTATTCTTTTAATTAGTGTTTCACTACCTGGGAAGCTTCAAAACTGAAGGGTGTTTTCTTAAAAAGGTTTTGCTTTTTTCCATCTAAGCATTATTATTATTAATATTAATATTTTGCATCTTATTGCTTTTTATCCTGGCTAAGTTCTTCTAGGGAAATGCAAACCCTTGCAAAGCTCTGTGGTTATTTAAAAGAAGCACCCATTGAAACGTTTTTATTTACATAATTACTATATTTTTATCCTGACACAAAGACAGGTTGATTTATTGTTGTGTGCTATTTTTTAATTGACAAATAAAAGTTGTATATATTTATGGTGTACAACATGATGTTTTGATATATGTATGTACTGTGGAATGGATAAATCAAACAAATTAATATATGCATTATCCCACATACTTATTTTTCTGTGGTGAGAACACTTAAAATCTACTCTCTTAGCAATTTTCAAGTATACAATGTATTGTCATTAGCTCTAGTCACCATGATGTACAATAGATCTTGTGAACTTATTCTTCTAAGACAGGTTGATTTGAATCCCAGCTCTGTCTCTACTAGCTGTTTGAATTTAAGCAATTTATTTAATCACAGTGCACTCCAATTTATTTATTTTTGAAAAGCAGATTAATGTACCTACCTCAAATATTTGTTATGGGGATGCAGTCACATAATTATTATCTAGTGCAGGGTTTGGCACATACTAGAAGCTTAGTAAGGATGATTTATATACTTTCCTTAGCAAGGAAATCCTTAGTAAGGATAAGTTATATACTTTCTATCCTTCTATTCCTTTCTCTGTATTTCCCCAAAGTTTTCTTATGTAAATATTTAACCCTGATTTGATTCAATCTCATAATATGGGTAGATCATAGTTGTTCACATGTATGTCTGCTATGCTCAGCTGTAATTTCTTAGAGAGAGGAGGCAATGTTTCATTCATCTACACATCTATACAGCTCCTAGCTCATTGCTCTCCTCATTTCAGATAACCATTGATGTGAAAAAACAGAAGAAAAAGAAGGAACAGAGAGGGGAAAAGAAAAGGAAAAGGATGTTGATTATAATGATGGATGTACTATGTCTGTACTCTAGCAACAACATTTTATTTCATTATTTCTTAAATTTAATAAAACTTCAGTATTAGATGATATTCTAAATTAGTACAAAGAGATGACTTGAAATGTACAGATCAGACTAAATCAGTGAGGAGCCCAAAATAAGCCACAAATCAATTTGTACACATTTATTGAATTCCCACTATGTACTTAAATACTGAATTCCCACTATGTACTTAAATGACGGTGGGGTTCCAGCTCTTAATTCAATAGTCTATCCATGGTTAAATAGTGACGAACTGTTGATATACTAAAACAGCCCAAGTCTCATGTATTCTAAAAAGTCAAGAAATACATACTTACGGTTCTCATAAAAAGTCAAGAAATATATACTTATGGTTCCCATAATAGTAACAGCCCTGCCTTGCTCTATAATATTATTTTGTTTTACTGCATATGGTCTGGACTCTAGGGCTATACTTAATGCGCAGTAAGGTAGAAATACAGCTGCCAAGAGAAAAATGTTATTGATTTATTTTTTTACTTACACGTACAAAACAAGGACAGTTTTCCTAAATGCCCAACTGGAAAGCTTATAATAATTTTAATATTATCAACTTGGTCTGAGTCTTTAATGAGAAGATACTAATAAAAATGGCATCTAATAAAGCTGTTAATTAAATATAACCAAATGCCAAAATATAGGAGGAAGCCAGTCAATATTTAGGAAAAGGTAAGGTTTATGGAATAAGTGGGTCTTAAAGCTGTGGACAAATGTAAATAAATAGAATGGGCCAGGGAGGGCATTTCAATGTGGGAACCATGAAAACAGAAGAAGACAGGACAGGGTTCAGATCAGTGGGCAGTAAAAGTCTACATAAGCGAGGAACTGGAAGAAAAATGTGGACAAATAAAATGGGTTCAGATTATATGTGGCCTTGAATGCCAATCCCTGTAGCTTGGATTTGGTCCTATAAATAAGTAGTCACTCAAGAGGGCTCTGGGATGCAGGGAGACCTTGTGAAAGTGAAGTGCAGGGAAGATGAGGTAAGCAGGACCTACTCATGAGATTCCGGTGGCCAAAAGGCAGGAGGTAGGGAAACCAGTGTGGAAACTAGTACAGGGTTTTCACACATCAAACCATGGTTATTTAACATTGTCTTAAAAATTTGTAATGCATGGGAGTTCTCAGACTTATTTCTAAATAGCAAGTGGTGGAAGAAGAGAGTAGGTAGAAGAGTTCCAGGCAGGTCAGTTCAAGCTCAGTCCTTCTTGGAACCTTATATTTGCATCAAGGTGATTGCCAGTGTCATTAAATGGATCCAGGTGAAAGACACACTAGCTGGACCGAAGAAAATGTGAAACTGAAAGGAATTACCACTAGTTAAGACCGGGAAAGACACAGTACTGAAAGTACTTCACGGTGTGAAGACCTTCCATGAGCAAGACCTCATGGAATACATATTACCTTTATGTGAATAGCACTTTGCAAAATGTTTCATGCACTGTATTAATGACTGTTATGTATATAGCACTTACTATGTGCCTGGCACAACTAATACAACAACCCTAGGAGGTAGGTACTAGCATCCACTTTTACAGATGCACAAAAGTAATAACCTGTCCAACATCACGTTGCTGGGAATACTGGAACCAGGATTGGGCCCAGGGGGTCTAACTCCAGGACCTGTGCTCTTAACACTACACTCTGCTGCTTCTCATTCTACTTCCTCTTTAAGATCAATCTTACTTGTTCAACAAATATTTACAGAGTTCTTACTTGCAAGGATCTATCCCATATATTGAGTTTCCAGTGGTGGATGAGCCATGACCCCTACTTTCAACCACATACAGTTTAGAGATCCAGACAGACAAGTATATCCACATTTTACTGCTGAAAAATGGAAACCTAAGCTAAAATAAATAACTTATCCAAGCATACAGCCAATATAGCAGGTGATTAGGCCAGGACTTGAATGCTGATATTACATCTGCAAGTCTAATGCTTATTCCAAGTAACGCTGTTACTACTTTTTCTAGCCTACTAGAAAAAAATGAAAGAAAACAACAATATAAAAACCAGAACTAACTAGTCTAGCCAGATTTCTACAAAAGGGCCTGATCTTGGATGAAGACAACATTGAATGAAGAGGCTGTGACTCTGATGCAAATAGCACAGGTTACCTATGCCCATATACAACATACTCATTCAAGAGCTAAACAATGTATCATTTCAAACATGAAATGTCCTGTCATCAATCAATATTTTTCCTAAAATTATTTCAGATGCTCTGGAATAAACCATTCACATAGGGCCAATTCTCTCAAGGAAAAATCAAGAGAAACCCTTGTGGGCCGAGAAGCTGAAGACCACTCCAATCAGTTCATTTCCACAGTAATTAAAACTGTCTTTCATTTTTCCTTCTGTCCCTTCAATGTCCCCTAAGGGAGGCCTACAGATCCTCCTTTGATACATAAGAAAATTTCCCCAAACTACCTAACTATATCATTTTGCAAGATTTGTTTTACCAAATTTTGATGGCCTTTCTGAGCTTGTCAGTGTGAACCACTATTACGAACGATCGGATATTAACTGCCCCTCACCGTCCAGGTGTAGCTGGCAACATCAAGTGCAGTAAATATTCATTAAGTTTTCACCTACTAAGGTGCTTAAACACCCTAGGGTGCCATGTCGGTAGCAGATCTTTTGATTTGTTTTTATTTCCCATAAGGGTCCTGTTCAAGGTCAATCATACATGTAGTGTGAGCAGCTAGTCACTATCGCATGACTTGGAGGGTGATAATAGAGGCCTCCTTTGCTGTTAAAGAACTCTTGTCCCAGCCTGTCAAAGTGGATGAATTTAAGGAAGAGAAGTTTGATAACAGGGAACTAGCAGGGTTATTAAGGAAGTTAACAGGTATTTATTGAACATGCCTGATGGGCCCAACACAACAGAAGGCCCTGCCCACCTGACCCAGCATAGGCGCCAGAGTTGACCAGTATCATTAAGATCAAAATGTATGGCCGAGCACAGTGGCTCATGCCTGTAATCCCAGCACTTTGGGAGGCCCAGGCAGGTGGATTCCTTGAGCCCAGGGGTTCGAGACCAGCCTGGGCAACATGGCAAAACCTTGTTTGCACAAAAAATACAAAAATTAGCCAAGTGTGGAGGTGCACACCTGTGGTCCCAGCTACTTGGGAGACTGAGGTAGGAGGATGGCTTGAGCCAGGCAGGTAGAGGCTGCAGTGAGCCATGTTTGCACCACTATATTCCAGCCTGGGTGACAGAGTAAGACTATGCAAAAAAAAACTGAAATGTAGCATTTGTTTTTCAGTCTTCCAAGATTGAATCAGAAAATGAAACTCTGGACAGACCAATATCAAGTTCTGAAATTTAAGCAGTAATTTAAAAAAATCTACAAATGAAAAAAGCCCCAAAAATCTACCAATGAAAAAAGACCAGATGTATTCACAGCCAAATTCTACCAGATGTACAAGGAAGAGCTGGTACCAATTCTACTGGAACTAGTCAAAAAATCAAGGAGGAGGGACTCCTCCCTAACTCATTTTATGAAGCCAGCATCACCTTGATAACAAAATCTGGTAAAGATGTAACAAAAAAAGAAAACTACAGGCCAATATCCCTGATGAACATAGACACAAAAGTCCTCAACAAAATACTAGCAAATCGAATCCAGCAGCACATCAAAAAGTTAATTCCCCGTGATCGCATAGGCTTCACTTCTGGGATGCAAGGCTGGTTCAACATATGCAAATCAGTAAATGTGATTCATAACATAAACAGAATTAAAAACAAAAACCATATCATCATCTCAATAGATGTGGTAAAAGCTTTCAATACAATCCAACATTCTTTCATGATAAAAATAAAGAAGCTAGGCATTGAAGGAACATACCTCAAAATAATAAGAGCCATCTAGGACAAACCCACAGCCAACATTATACTGAATGGGCAAAACCTGGAAGCGTTCCCCTTGAGAACTGGAGCAAGACAAGGATGCCCACTCTTACCACTCCTATTTGACATAGTACTGGAAATCCTTGCCACAGTAATCAGGCAAGAGAAAGAAAATAATAAATAGGAAAAGAAAAAGTCAAACTATCTCTCTTTGTGGGTGGTATGAATCTATACTTAGAAAATCCTATAAACTTGGCCAGGTACAGTGGCTGACACCTGTAATCCCAGCACTTTGGGAGGCTGAGGCTGGCAAATCACTTAAGGCCAGGAGTTTGAGAACAGCCTGGCCAACATGGCAAAACCCTGTCTCTACTAAAAATACAAAAATTAGCTGGACATGGTGGTGCACAGCTCCCAACTACTCGGGAGGTTGAGGCATGAGAATTGCTGGAACCCAGGAGGCGGAGGTTGCAGTGAGCTGAGATTGCACCATTGCGCTCCAGCCTGGATGACAGAGGGAGACTCTGTCTCAAAAAAACAAAAAAAAAAGCTAAGAGCCAAATCAAGAACACAATCCCATTTACAATAGCTGCAAAAAACAAAATAAAACAAAAAATCTAGGAATATATCTAACCAAGGAGGTAAACGATCTCTATAAGGAGAACTACAAAATACTGCTGAAAGAAATTACAGATGACACAACCATGGAAAACATTCTATGCTCACAGATTGGAAGAATCAATATTATTAAAATGGCTGTTCTTCCTAAAACAATCTACAAATTCAACACTATTCCTATCAAACTACCAATGTCATTTCCCACAGAACTAGAAAAAACCTATTCTAAAATTCACATGGAACTAAACAAGAGCTGGAATAACCAAAGCAATCCTAAGCATAAAGAACAAAACCAGAGGTATCACATTACCCAACTTCAGACTATACTATAAGGTTACAGTAACCAAAACAGCATAGTACTGGTACAAAAACAGACAGACTAGTGGAACAGAATAAACACAGAATTAATGCCACACACCTGCAGCCACCTGATCTTTGACAAAATTGACAAAAAATAGGCAATGGGGAAAGGACTCCCTACTCAGTAAATGCTGCTGGGATAGCTGGCTAGCCTTATGCAGAAAAATAAAACTGGGGCCGGGCGTGGTGGCTCACGTCTGTAATCCCAGCACTTTGGGAGGCCGAGGCGGGCAGATTACGAGGCCAGGAGATCGAGACCATCTTGGCTAACACAGTGAAACCCCGTCTCTACTAAAAATACAAAAAATTAGCCAGGCATGGTAGTGGGTGCCTGTAGTCCCAGCTACTTGGGAGGCTGAGGCAGGAGAATGGTGTGACCCGGGAGGTGGAGGTTGCAGTGAGCCAAGATCGCGCCACTGCACTCTAGCCTGGGCAACAGAGTGAGACTCTGTCTCAAAAATAAATAAATAAAATAAAATAAATAAAACTGGACTTCTACCTTTCACCATATACAAAAATTAACTCAAGATGGATTAAATATTTAAATGTAAGGTTTCAAACTATAAGAATCCTAGAAGAAAACCTAGGAAACACCATTCAGGACATCAACCTTGGGAAAAGAATTTATGACTTAGTTCTCAAAAGCAATTGCAACAAAAATAAAAATTGAGAAGTGGGACCTAATTAAGCTAAAGAGTTTCTGCACAGCAAAGGAACTATCAACAGAGTAAACAGACAACCTACAGAATGGGAGAAGAAAATGTTGGTAAACTATGCACGTAACTAAGGTCTAATATCCAGAATTTATAAGAAACAATTAAACAAGCAAAAAACAAATAACCCAAATAAAAAATGAGCAAAAGACATGAACACACACGTCTCAAAAAAAGACATACAAGCAGCCAACAAACATGAAAAAAAAAAAAGGTTTAATCAGCTGGGCGCAGTGGCTCATGCCTGTAATACCAGCACTTTGGGAGGACAAGGTGGGCGGATCATTTGAGGTCAGGAGTTCGAGACCAGTCTGGCCAATATGGTGAAACCCCATCTCTACTAAAAATACAAAAATCAGCCGGGCATGGTGGCACACGCCTGTAGTCCCAGCTACTTGGGAGACTGGGGCAGGAGAATAGCTTGAACCCAGGAGGCGGAGGTTGCAGGGAGCTGAGATTGCACCATTGCACTCCAACCTGGGCATCGCAGCAAGACTGTCTCAAAAATAAAAAAAAAAGAAAAAAAAGGTTTAATCACCAGAGAAATGCAAATCAAAACCACAATGTGATACCATCTCCCACCAGTCAGAATGGCTATTATTAAAATGTCAAAAAACAACAGATGTTGGCAAGGCTGCAGAGAAAAGGGAATGCTTAGGAACTGTTGGTGGGAATATAAATTAGTCCAGTCACAGTGGAAAGCAGTTTGGAGCAGTTCAAAGAACTTGAAACAGAACTACCATTCAACCCAGCAGTCCTCTTACTGGATATATAGCCAAAAGAAAATATATCATTCTACCAAAAAGACACATGCACTCATATGTTCATCACAGCTCTATTCACAATAGCAAAGACATGGAATCAACCTAGGTACCCATCAATGGGGAACTGGTCCAAGAAAATGTGGTACATATACACCACGGAATACTATACAGCCATAAAAAAGAATGAAATCATGTCCTTTGCAACAACATGGATACAGCTAGAGGCCATTATCCTCAGTGAATTAATGCAGAAACAGAAAAACAAATACCGTACGTTCTCATAAGTGGGAGCTAAACAATGGGTACTCATGGACATAAAGATGAGGACTACCAGAGAGGGGAGGGAGGACAGAAAGGACTGAAAAACTAACTATTGGGTACTATGCTCAGTACCTGGGTGATGAGAACAATTGTATCCCAAACTTCAGTATCATGCAATATATTTAGGTAACAAACTTGGACATGTACCTCCTAAACAGCTGAAATTACTTAAAAAATTAAAACATAGTTTTTCAATCACTTAAATATCAAATTTATTTTCAATAACATCTCATTTATTTTTAATAAAATGTAATATATTTAAAAATCTTTACATTGTTCGTGCAAGGGGCAGCAGGGTGTTGTGGAATGAAGGGTCCCAGGGCAAGTCTACCATCTCCTTTCCCATTGCCTTTCTGAGCATGCTGCAGTCCAGTCCCTCTGAACCAAAAGTGGCTCCCCAAATTGCTGAGCTTGCTGGCTGGGCTCTGTGCTAGATGGAGTGAATATGAAGACACAGTCCCACTCCCATGCAATTCATAGATAATTAATTAGGAAATAAGTGCAGCAGCTGGAAATTGGTACAGGAAACCAGGGAGCTCCAAAGAGAGGAAACTAACCCAGCACTGGGGCAGGTGGTGGGCAAGCGAGGAGGTAATGGCCCTGGGCTGGGTCTTCAGGGATGTGAAGGCTTTAAGCTGGTGAGGAGGCACTGCATGCAGATGTCAGGGCATGGACAGGGCTGCAAGGCTCCCAACCACTTGTGTGTGCAGGAAACAGAGTTTGTGATGCTTAGGGAATCATGAGTAAGTCAGAGAGTGGTGATAGGTGAGCCAGAGAGGTGGGCAAGTGCCCCATCCTGGGGGTAATGGCATTGCAGCCAATGATTTGGCTTTCGCTATAGGGAAATGTGTTCATTGGAAATACTTCAGAAGGCAGAGATGGTGATAAAGAAGAAGATGAGAAGTACTAAAAAAAAAAATCCCCAATTCAGAGATAACCACTGTTACATTTGATGTGCAATCTTTTGCACAAATATATATATATGTGTGCATGTTTGCATGTAATATATTCATATGAATATATACACTTACATATACTAACAAAAATATTTTTCTTCAAAAATAAAATGATTTGAAATGTGGTATATATACTATGGAATATTATTCAGCCTTAAAAAGGAAGGAAATGATGACACGTACTACAACATGGATGAATCATGAGGACATTACGCTAGGTGAAATAAGCCAGCCACAAAAAGACAAATACTATACCATATGATTCCACTTATATGAGGTATCTAGAGAAATTAAATTCATAGAGAAAAGTAGAATAATGGTTGTCAGGGGCTAGGGGTAGGAGGATATGGGGAGTTGTTTAATGGGTATAGAGTTTCAGTTCTGTAAGACGAAAGAAGTTTTGGAGATTGGATGTACAGCAATGTTAATATACTTGGGACTACGGAACTGTACACTTAAAAATAGTGAAGGTGGTCAATTCCATTATGTGGATTTTACCACAAGTAAGGATTAAACATGTAAGTAATTAAAATTTAAAAAGGAAATCACTTAACAAAGCTCTTTAAACTTTTTCACTTCTTTTTGTAATCATCTCTTTATTGGAGATATATACAACTCCGTCAACATTTCAGAGGACTGTATAGTATTCTATTGTAGAGATCGACCTTAATTTATTTAACCCAGGAGAATTATTTTTTAGAATGTAAGAAATTTGCAAATGCTTGTCTGATGGGAAGGAGCTAGCAAAGAGCAGAGAGAGGTACAGGACCACAGAAGAGAGGAATATAATAATAGAGCAAAAACCCTGGACCCAAAGGAGGTGAGAGGAGATGGCATTAGGGGTTCAGGTGATGTGCTAGTCTTAAACACAAAGAAAAATGGACATCATATCCTCTGAGGAAAGGAGGTTGATATGGTTTGGCTCTGTGTCCCCACCCAAATCTCACCTAGAACTGTAATCCCCATAATCCCCATGTGTTGAGGGAGGGGCCTGGTGGGAGGTGACTAGATCAAGAGGGCAGTTTCCCCATGCTGTTCTCATGGTAGTGAGTGAGTTCTCACAAGATCTGATGGTTTTATAAGTGTTTAACAGTTCCACCTTCACATGCTCTCTCTCATGAACTCTCATGAACTCTCTCTCTCTCTCACCTGCAGCCATGTAAGACGTGCCTGCTTCCCCTTCTGCCATGATTTTAAGTTTGCTGAGGCCTCCCTAGCCATGCAGAAGTTTCCTTGATAAATTACCCACTCTTGGGCCGTTCTTTATAGCACTGTGAAAACAGAGATACAGATGGATATATAAGAAAGAGTTTGGGCAACTGTGGGAAGTCAAGAGACTAGAGGTCTCAATGAAAAAATAGATTGAGGAGTAGGGTATGAAAGAGCTGGAAGGAGCCAGGCACGATGGCTCATGCTTGTAATCCCAGCACTTTGGGAGGCCGAGGTGGGCGGATCACGAGGTCAGGAGATCAAGACCACGGTGAAACCCTGTTTCTACTAAAAGTACAAAAAAATTAGCCAGGCATGGTGGCGGGCACCGGTAGTCCCAGCAACTCAGAGAGGCTAAGCCAGGAGAATGGCGTGAACCCAGGAGGCGGAGCTTGCAGTGAGCCGAGATCGCACCACTGCACTCCAGCCTGGGCGACAGAGCGAGACTCCGTCTCAAAAAAAAAAAAAGAAAGAAAGAAAGAAAGGAAGAGCTGGCAGGATGCACAGTTATGTTCAAAGGATGCACAGTTATGTTCAGAGAATGGGATAGTGGGGTTAAGATTTCTGAGGTGAAAAAATAGCAGCCAGACAAGAGTTTGGGTGAAGGCTTGAGAGTGAGTAGGTATGGTTTAGTGGAGGTGAAGATGCTAAGAAGGTCCAATGGAGTTTGAGGCTGAATTCATCGGTCAGACCCTCTAGGATGATGTCATTGCCATAAGTTACTGCAAGAGTTGGGGGAGAAAGGGAGGTACAGGAAGACATGGAGCCAGATTGTCAGTTCTTTAAGAAATAAACAGGAGTGACTGGGAATTGAATGAAGAGTTGGGATGACAAAGGGTGGAAGGGGGTTGCCTCATTCAGCAATGAGACTTGTAGTTCTTAGAAAACATTCTCCAGCACCCCCAAATTCTTTACCATGATTTTTTTTCTCCATAGCACATACAGCATACACTATACTATTTATTTATCTACGGTCTGTCCTCCCCACTATAATGTAAAGCTCCCTGAGGACAGAAATGTCCATTTTGTTCAGTGCTCTATCACCAATACCTAGATTATGGCTACACATAGCAATGCTTCAATAAATCATATTTGAATGAATGAGTGAATGAGTAAATGGTAAAGGTCAGTTAAAATAAGGACATTCCATGAGGTTTGCTAAAATAGCAGGGAGAGTCTTCCTCAGGAAGGAGCTATCTTATAGTGTTCAGACTTAGGGACAGAAAAGTCAGCCAGGGCCTCATCCCAGTGTGTATCTGCTTTTTTTCATTTTCCCCTTTTCACGTGACTACTCTTTTTGATCCTATAAGACTCAGCTTGGGTGTCACCATCTCTGGAAAGCACCACCTGATGTCTCTCCCCTTATCTATCCAGGGCGGCTGCCCCTCATGTTCTTATGGTACCCTAGGATGCCTCTCAATTAGCATGCTTACCCCACTGTATGGTAACTGTTTACATGGCAGTCACCCCACTAGACTGAATAAGTGTGGCATATCTTAAACATGCAGTAGGCACTCTGGTATAGTTTGGATATTTGATCCCTCCAAACCTTATGTTGAAATTTGATACCCAATGTTAGCGGTGGGGACTAATGGGAGGGGTTTAGGTAATGGGGCTGATCCTTCATAAATGTCTTGGTAGCAACCTCACAGTAGCAAGTTTTCACTCTATGAGCTCCCAAGAAAGCTGGTTGTTAAAAAGAGGCTGTCCCCTCCCTCCCTTCTCTCTGGTTGCCTCCTCTCTCGGCATGTGATTTCTGCACACACTGGCTCCCCCACACCTTCCACCATGAGTGGAAACAGCCTGAAGCCTGCACCAGAACCAGATGTTGGCACCATGCTTCTCGTACAGCCTGCAAAACTAGGAGCCAAATAAACCTCTTTTCTTTATAAATTACCCACTACCCTCGGGTATTCCTTTATAGCAACACAAAAATGTATTAAAATGTGCTCTATAAATGTTTTTGAATACATAAGTAGAAAGCACTGGATGTGTGAGTTGGAAGATCCTGCATTTTTCCTTCTTTGAAGCTCACCTCTGTCACACACAAATCTACACTTTGGCCCTACTGAGCAAATGGGCCCTGGTGCTAGAGAAACCAGGTGGGAAAACAGCTCAGTCCCCACCAGAGCTTTCCTGTTAAGCTAAGCTAGGTGTCCACTGGCCTTCATGTGTCCATTTCCCTGCCCATCTGCCCATAAGCTTGCCTGTGATGACCTGGTGGAATTCTGAAGTACACAGGCTACCTAGCTCACCTGTGATGTTGCCTAGCCAGTAGAGCACAATGAAATCATCTGGGAAGCTTTTAAAAAAAAGTTTGGTGTCTGAGCTCCCCGACCCACCCAGAGATTCTGATTTAATAGATTTGGGGTGCCGCTGGAATTGTAGAGTTCGTCAGATGATTTTTTGTGCAGCCATGGTTGAGAACCTCTGCCCCCTGCCTCGCTTGCCATCTCTTCTGGGCTTGTGGTGCTGTCTAAAGTAGCAACTCATTAAGAACTTCTTCAGTCCAGGGTCTGCCCAGGCCAGCCATGGGCAAAGGTCAATGGTCTGTCTGAAGAACCCAGTGGAAGGGTGCTGCATCTTAGGGCAGCACAAGAAGCCAGATCACATTAGTTAACTGGCCTGGAGGAAAGAACACCTTTGTGTTCCATCTGAAACTGCTGTCCAGTAGCCACAGAGGCTATTAAAATTTGAATTAATCAAAATTAAAAATTCAGTCAATAACAGGCTAGCCAGTGCATTGTCACCTTTATGGGCCACCTGGTCTCTGTTCCAGTTACTCAACTCTTCAGTGTTCATGTAGAGGCAGTCACAGGTAACATGTAAACAATGGGTATGGCTGTGTACCAATTGGACTTTATTTACAAAATAGCTGACTCCTATCGAAAAAACATCAAATGCCCTAAGACAAAAACATTTACTTAATATAATTTCTAAACACAAAGAGATAATGATTTATTTGGAAAGGCAAGGTAAATATGCAACAAGCAAACAAACTAGAAGCCGGATGAAACCGAAGTAAGCCTTAAGGTACAACATCAGAGTCATGTTAAGTTGGCTTGGACAAACAATATGTTGAGAACTAATATAAAATATTCATAGGCCAAAGTGGAATGGAGTCTCATCCTTCTGTGATGGCTATGGTCAAGCCAAGACTCTAAGAAATAAATTGCGTGCCTTCCAAAGGCATTTTCTGGCTCTGAGACACTGAACAGGGGAGCAGTTATCATCCAGAAAATCCTCTTTAATTTCCCATTTCGATAAAATAAGTTAGAACTTGTGTTATGAACAAGAAAGAAGAGTGAAAAAAAGTCACTCTGAGCCAAGGACTGTGCTAGGGACTTCACAAATATTGTCCAATAGCTAATAAAAAGCAACATTTCTGAATTGCTACATTTATGATTCTGTAAGTGAACACTGATTTGGGTCAGTGGCTTGATCTTAAAAGATCACGATATGCCACTATTTGATCATAACTGTATCATTCTGCGAATCAGTTAATGGAGAATTTTCATCTTTATTTTTATGTGCATACATATACAATCAAAATTTTGTTATAAAATGGCAAGCCACTCCTTTTCATATAAATCAATTTTATGCCACATATAAGCTGAAATTAAAATGGGGAAACACCAATCAAAATGTCACAGAAAAGATAATCAGCTTCCTCAAGAACAATTCTATTAGCTGCTAAAATTACAGGAGATAAATATGGTTTTTGTGAATACTGTGCTGTCAATGACAAGACTGGAAAATGTTTCAAAATGCCATACTTTTGAAGTCTATGGTATGTGGGAACATAATACCACAAAGGCAGAAAAAATGTCACCCACAAGTTAATATTCCTGCTACTACATGTAGGTATATTTTAGTTATCAGTGTTTCTATATAAATATACTTTAAGTTTCAGTGCAAACTAGAATTTAGAAATTCCAGGAGATATATTTCCATTAGAAATTCCAGGATGATTATATTACAGAATTCTAATTTTAATTTGCAAATACTCCAAGTTCAGTAAAAAAATACTATTTCTATTGGGATTGCATTACAATGGTATCAACATTTCTTAATTAACACTATTCACTCATGAATCAACAGAATGAAAATAACTTGAAAGACTATTTTATCAACCAGCACAGTTTAAAAAATATATGTTAATTTTAGCTACATACAGTTTTAATTTATGCTTTAAAACTTCTAATTATTGCCATTTAAATATTTCTTTGGCAGTCAAGTCATCATAAGTGTAAAAAAAGAGTACGAAATCTACTTTGTTAATAAATGAAATGTTTGGTGAATAGTAAAGCTATGCTATTTTTAGAGACATTTATGTTTATATTCAGTTGATTGTCATTATAATTCATTATAATTGCTTCAAAGTTAAATAATATCATTTAAAGTATGGGCTAATTTCCTATACCGCCATAGTTAAGCATAGTTACTTCTTAAGCTTTGTCTACACCTGTCTAAAAGTATTACCCCACTTTCAATGTTTTCTCAAAGGCAGTTCATCTTGCCCCTTTTTATTCCACAGATAGAGTCTGGATCACTGTCCTCAGAGATGGAAGATTCTACAGCCTTGAACAAAATCTGAATAGCTTTAGAATTTTTCACGTTAGACACAGCTTCTGTACTTTTTAAAGGAAAGTAAGCATGATGGCAAGCTGTTGCCTCTTCTAGTCTACCTGACAAAGTCTATGGACTTTAAGTGATCCGATTACATTAAGTTTGACCTTTAAGGAAAACTGAAATCTACTTCCAAAATGAAATTAGTTTTACTTTCTAGATTGCACTGGAGAAAAAATATTTCCAGCCTCACTTTCAAGACTTCTTTTGTCATATGAAATTCTTAAAACAACATTGTTTTCTATTTATTTTATTAAAACTATGTCACGAGGCACTTGTGGGCAGGAGGTGATTTTGAAAAGACAAATAACTTAGGATGTAGTAAATAGTGGTAGATTTATAAGACAGACATATCCACTGAGACCATTTGTCACTATCTGCTAAAAACAAATGTGTGCAGAAGTTAGGAAGTGGTTAGGAGGGAAGGAAGACAGCTCTGGAGACAAAATCTGTAGTCAGTCTCTGGGACAAGCATATTTCTTTGGGCATATAGCTGTTTTTTCAAGGGCGTTAACCTTCAGAGACCACAGGCTGGCAGCAGTGAGGTCTCTTCCTGCCTAAATGTGCAATGATTCCCCTATCACCCATCAGGCCTCCTCTTACACAGAAAATAACTGGCATCAGCTTATTTCCGCACTTGTACAATGCTCTACAATTTTTGAGCCTCACAGTTTTGTAGATGTACATCTATGTATCGCTATCACATTGTAAGATGGGAGGTGAGGTGGTTGAACGCTTGGGCTGTCACCAGATTGCGTGGGTTCCTATTCTGCCTTCACTACTTACTGGGATGTAGGTACTGCGGGATAATGGCAATACCTACACCAAAGGACTGTTGTGAGAGACAAGATAAGATGCAAAGCATTCAGCTGGAGGACTTGTTAAGCACTCAATAATGTTACTCACTATTAGCTATTATTTTTGTCTTAGGACAGTGTTTCCTCAAGTGGATCCCAAGCCTAGTTTCATAGGCAATATTTTACATCATGAACCGGTATACACATATACACTTATGTAACAATAATGCAAATAATAAATATGCATATATGCTGCTTATTACATATGGACTGAGTGGTGCAGAGTTAGGATTTGAACCTAGGGGTCCGGGGTCCTGTTTTTCTAGTGTTGTTTTTTTTTTTCTTGGAGGGGGGATTACAGGCACACATCACCACACCCGGCTAATTTTGTATTTTTAGTAGAGACGGGGTTTTGCCATGTTGGCCAGGCTGGTCTTGAACTCCTGACCTCGAGTGATCCACCCGCCTTGGCCTCCCAGAGTGTTGGGATTACAGGCGTGAGCCAACGTGCCCAGACTCTCTAGTGCTCTGAACCACTACTCTCCACTGCCTTGTGGCCTGGTACTTGTTATACATGGAGGAGCCAAAGTTTCATCAAACACTAGTAACCGTCAATAAAAAGGATGCACAGTGACCACTTCTATTAGACATTTTATTTCATCAAGAAAAATGCTGATCCTAACCTGCTCAATTGATTTTATGACCCAAGACATGTAATTTGAAAAATACTACAGTAAGTGTTGTAAGAAAAATTGTTTTGAAAACACTAACAGCCAGGCATGGTGGCACACGCCTGTAGTTCCAGCTACTTGGGGGGCTGAGGTGGGCGGATCCCTTGAGGACAGGAGTTCAAGAATGCACTGAGCATTCTGGGTGACAGAGTGAGTGAGACTCTGTCTCTATTAAAAGAGAAAAGAAAAGAACAGAAAACAATAACAATAAAAAGTTAAATAAGTATATGTATCTCATCTTAGAGGCTTTACCATGCTATTGTGCATTATAAATCTCCAAAAAAAAATAATAAAAAAGATTATATGGAGCATTTATTCAAGCATCCCCATCACCCTATGGGATGGACACTAATTTGGGAAATGTTATCAGGGGGTGTTAATATCTTCAACACAGAGATAATTTGGGAGTTATTTCAACCTATAATTAGTAGGCACAAACATAGTCAATAAATTTTTAAATAATTGATTGAGGAAGAGTCCCTTCCAGAGGAGGGGAACCCCCAGGACCCTGAGCTCTGGCCTGGAGAGAAGTACCCTAGATGCCTATGCTGGGTGCGGGAGCATCACTCACCCAAGAAACATGAGAGGCAGTGTCTTGTAAAACAGTCTAATTAACAACATGTCCCTCTCCATGATCAAAATAATGGGTTTAATCAAAGCAAATTAGTTTAAAAATGGAAACAACATGCTTGATGCTAAATCAAATCCCATTTTAATGGCTTTACTAAAAATAATGGTAGGTTACACCTTAAGTGGATTTGGTAATCTCCACAGGCTAGACTTGAGCAAGAGGATCTGGGTTTGAAACCTAAGAGAAAGAAACCAGACAAGAAGGGCAGAAACCAACAGAGGCAGAGGCTTCAGCTGCTCCTGGAGCCAGGGGTACCCATTTGTCAGACTTTTCACAGGGTCTCTGTGATTGTAATCAAGGGAAGAGTGCGAGAGTTGTGCATCACTACCTACTTCCTACCTTTCTCTGAACCTCCTCTCCCTTGAAAAATTGAAACGTACAGAAACTGACTCTAAGAATACATGATCTGTAATGTGCAAAAGAGCAAATAAGCCCAAGTTCATGAACACCGACACGAGGGGCCAGGCATCTAAACAACTCTGGGTGATGCTTATTATTGAGGCTAGCAGACACATAGAAATTAAAAAGAGAAACAGTTTTTAGAGTAGGGTTGAACTTCAGCACAAAATATCTTCTTCAGAGCAAGTACAAGTGGTTTTTCTTTTCTTTTTCTTTTTTTTTT